>NC_000013.11:76589924-76741439 GCF_000001405.40 Homo sapiens
CAATTTAATGCTGCAGTATCATGTAGCTGAGGCTGTATATTTGGTACAATATCTGCAACTGGGGTTACTACATGGTTGAGCTTGCAGTCATCTACAGTTATTCTTCAGGATTCATTAATATCTGGGGGTGGGGGCAGACTGGCAAATTAAAGGAGATAAGAAAATGATGGAGACCACAGCCCCGCTAATCTCTGCCATACTCTCACTACTACATCTTTTTCTACGCATGTATTCACCAGTATGGGTGGGTCAGTTTCAGAGGCTTCTGTTTGGTCTGTCTCACTATATTATCTCTTACACAACAGGCCAAAGACCCAGTGAATGGATTATTCCAACTATTAAACGTGTCCATTCTGATTGCACTTTTAGGAAATGACTGGGGAGTCGATTCATGGACTCAATGAAACCACTGGAAACTGGGTTTTAGTCAGAACTCCATTTATTGCCTGCCCTCCCCCATAAGCTACCATTTTAGCAGGGGAGCCATGAGGATGCATTGGTTCCCCAAGTGTCAAATTCAACTCCTGCCTGTGTCCAGTAGTCCTTGAAATGTCTGGGTATTTCCATCTTCTCAGTGTGTAGCCCCCTGAGTCAGTGGCATAGATTTTGGTGGGAAGGACTGGGAAAATCATTACACTTTACAATTGCTAGCGAGTTGCTGTGATGTTCCTCCCAGGAGTGAGGCTGCCTTATAGTCAGTGGGTTCCAGAGCTTGGCTTGGGTCCAGAATGAACAAGGGATGATGAATTTTTATTGTACTATCTACCCTTAGCCTCCTGCTTCTCCTTGGTACCTTCTTCTGATTCTACATGTTAAAAATGCACACACATCTGTTTGGCCCCTAGAGACACCATACTATATTAAGCTTTCTCCGTAACTTCTTATAATGGTCTTGAGGTTTCTAAAATTTCTTTTGTTTTGTTTTGTTTGTTGTTTTTTGTTTTGTTTTTTTTTTTGAGATGGAGTCTCGCTCTGTCACCCAGGCTGGAGTGCAGTGGTATGATCTCAGCTCACTGCAACCTCCACCTCCCAGGTTCAAGCAATTCTTGTGCCTCAGTGTCCCGAGTAGCTGGGACTACAGGCACATGCCACCATGCCCAGCTAATTTTTGTATTTTTAGTAGAGACAGGGTTTCGCCATGTTGGCCAGGTTGGTCTCGAACTCCTGGCCTCAAGTGATCTGCCCGCCTCAGCTTCCCAAAATGCTGGGACTAGAGGCGTGAGCCACTGCACCCAAGCCCAGTCTTAGGTTTCTTAAAGGTTTATACACATCTACCATAATGACTTAGCTATTGCATTTCCAGATATTCACCCAAGAGAAATAAAAGCACGCGTTCATACCAAAACTTGTACATGAATGTTCAGGGCAGCTATATTTGCAATAGATAAAAAGTGGAAACAATCAAAATATCCATTAGCTTGTGAATAAATTGTGGTATATTTATACCCAGCAACAAAAGACACTATTACCACATGAAATTAATCAAAACATAAAACACCACGGATGAATTTCAAAAACATTATGCAGAATGAAATCAGTCAAATACAAAAAAACTATAAACTGTATGTTTCTATTTGTGTAAATGCTGGAAAAGGCAAAATCATCTTTCCAGAAAGATCTGTAATCATCTAATCCCGGGGAAATGGATAAATTTCAAAAATGCATATGGAAACTTTTTACAGTAATAGAAATATTCTCTCTTGATTGTGATGTGATAACTGTATACAATTACCAAAATTCATCAAACTACACTTAAAATGGATTTCATTGCATGTAAATTATGTCTCAAATCTGAAGAAGAAAGGATGATTTGCTAAGCACTAAGGACATAAAAAGATATAATAACCATATTCCTGTGTTCAAAAAAATATGTAATTTAGTAAGCAAGAGAAAAATACAAATGTGCTTAATAAAAATATGTAACATGGAGCATGACATGAAGGGAATGCAAGTGATGTGAGAATTTAAAGGAGAAAGAGGTCACTTCCATTTGGGATGTTCCAACAGAGCTCAATGGAAGAGGCAGTATTTAAATAAAGTCTTGACCAATAGGTTAGACAGCTAAGGGGAGAAGAAATTCCAGAAGAACTGGATAAGGCATGTATTTATATTTATATTTACTTATTTCCTTATATTTTTGTTTATATCTATGAAAACTGAAGAGTGTGTTTTGAAAATGTTTAACTGCAGCACAAAGGTTATGTAGAAAATCAATAAGGCATAAGGCAATAAAAAGCAATTGGAGCCAAACCATAGAATGCCTACAATTCTAGAGGATAAGCAACAGATGCCACTGGGAGTTGTGTGACCAGAACTTTGCTTCCAATGAAGATAATACTGTTAAGTCAATGCAGGATGGATCAGACAAGAGGCATGGCAGGAGGCTAGGAGACTCTCTAGTGGTGCTGGAATTTTCCAGTTAAAAATGGTGACATGAAGACAGCTCTGATTTTGGGGGGTCATCTCTGGTTGCCTCAGCACAAGCACTGCTCTTTGGCTGCTCTGGCACTTCTTCCTCTTTTTCTGCCAGCCCACCAAGAGACCCCAAGGGAAAAGTGCTTTCACAATTCTGGGTTGAGGAGACCTGTGAAATGACAGGCATTTGAACAGAGGAGTTGCTTTCAAAACCGTGTTCTCCAAGATCATATTGAACAAGGGTCTCTTCTTGTTCCTGGTTTAAGTAGTCCGGTACTAGGAAATCACTTCATGCTTTAGGCGATGCATCTTTAGCGAGTAAGCCCTGGTGAACTTTTTCCCACAGCGGTCACACTGAAATGGTTTAATTCCTGAGTGGATGAGCATAGTGCTTGTGCTGAGGCAACCAGAGATGACCCCCCAAAATCAGAGCTGTCTTCTATAACTATTGAGTAGTTTTGTGCTTTGGCTTCAGTTTTGTTTTTTGGAAAGTGCCTGTGCTTGGTCTTGTACATTTAAATTTAATTTAATTTTTTAAACAAAAAAAGCCAGGTGGGAGGGAGGGGGAGATTGGGAAAGAATTTCCCTTTTTACTTTCTGAGCCCTGAAACTGATTTTATTTTTCCTAACTGAGAGATTGCTTCTGTAAGTACACAATAACATGATGTTGAAACAGAAACTATGAGACTTAAGGAGAACTGGTTGACTTAAAACATATACCAGTTCCTTCTTCCATTGTTAAAAGTAGGCTAACAGATCATTAGCTGGAGAGGAAATCAGATGATTATTGACCTTCTTGAGACAAGAGGGTACATGAGAAACTAATTACTAAACAGCTTGACAAATGGCCTGAGTAGATACTTACTGCTGTACACAGGATGTTGTATAATATTTTGTAAAGCCTGTTGTTTTTGGAAGTATTTATGGTAAGCTTTCTTAAAAATTATTATGGTAAATACTTCTGAAATCCGGCATACTTTTCTTTAAGCTTTGTCATTTCTGTTATGATTTTTCATGGTGAAATTTTGGTACTGAGATGGGCATTCTCTGTACCTTTATAGTACCACTCCAAAGGCAAGGAACCATGATTGACAACAGTCAAGCTGTGGATGAAATGACCAGGAACGGAGAATGAAGTATGTAAATCCCAGCTTCATAGGAACTCTTCTCATACTGCTTTTCAGATTAAAATTGCTGTTTACCTGGTCTCCCAATGTAATGCCTGACTGTGTCATTGCCCGGATCAGTTTTTCCCCCTGCCCCATCAATATGTTCTCTTGCATATATTGGCGTGCTGCCATACAAAGTAAAAATATTGGAGATATTCTATATTTTATATATAGGTTTATGTGTTGTTGGGGATGTTTTCATTGTGCTGTTTTGCACATAATAAATAATTCTCTATTGAGAAAAAAAAAATGGTGACATGAAAATGGAGTAGAAAATATGTCTGAAAGTTTGCAGAGCAAGAAATTGGTGGCTGAGAGGATATGGTGGTGGAAATGAAAGATAACAAAGATGATACCAAAGAATAGACTGAATCAATATCATTAACATTAAATAAAATCATTGTCAGAGTGTCTGAAAATTAAAGGAGAATAAGGTTTGAGGAGGAGCTATTAAATTAGGTGATTACATAGTCAGCCAATGAATAATTATGAGCACCAACTCTGCACCAGCCAAGATATAAAGGGGATAATGTGAGGCACCGGTCAGAGAAAGTCCCTGGCCTTAAAGGGTTTATATTCTTGTTTGTAGAGATAGATAATAAGCACTTAAACATACAGTAAGTCCTCACTTAACATCCTCAGGAGGCTCTTGAAAACTACAACTTTAAGTAAAAGTGTGTATAACAAAACCTATTTTACCATAGGCTAATTGATATCAACAAGAGTTACGTTCTTACAGCATATTTCTGATCACAAAAACATCACCAAACTTTATAGAGACTCAATATGCTTCTAATATTAAACATTGTAATAAATGTGAACTGTATATACACTTAAAATAGATTAATAAAAACAAGTAAGACAGTTATTTCTTTTTAACTTTTATTTTAGGTTCAGGATACATATTCAGGTTTGTTACAGAGCCAAATTGTGTAGCACAGGGGTTTGGTATACAGATTATTTCATCACCCAAGTAATAAGCATAGTGCCCAGTAGGTAATTTTTTTATCTTCTCTTTCCTCACAATCTCCACCCTCAAGTAGACTGTGGTATCTGTTGTTCCCTTAAGATAATTATTTATTTAACCAAGTTTTGGTGAAGCAGTTAGTGACAGCAGTTGATAATGGTAGTAGGTTAAATCAATGAGTAAATATTTGCAAAGCAAACATTGCAAGGAGCACTTCCAACTACCATACAGTTCAAAAACTACTTTAGATTTCATATGGAACCAAAAAAGAGCCCACATAGCCAAGACAATCCTACGCAAAAAGAACAAAGTTGGAGGCATCACACTACCTGACTTCAAACTATACTACAAGGCTACAGTAACCAAAACAGCATGGTACTGGTACCAAAACAGATGTACAGAACAATGGAACAGAACAGAGGCCTCAGAAATAACACCACACATCTACAACCATCTGATCTTTGACAAACCTGACAAAAACAAGCAATGGGGAATGGATTCCCTATTTAATCAATGGTGTTGGGAAAATGGCTAGCCATATGCAGAAAACTGAAATTGGACCCCTTCCTTACAGCTTATACAAAAATTAACTCGAGATGGATTAAACACTTAAACGTAAGACATAAAACCATAAAAACCCTAGAAGAAAACCTGGGCAATACCATTCAGGACACAGGGATAGGAAAAGACTTCAAGCCTAAAACACCAAAAGCAATGGCAACAAAAGCCAAAACTGACAAATGGGATCTAATTAAACTACAGAGCTTCTGCACAGCAAAAGAAACTATCATCAGAGTGAACAGGCAACCTACAGAATGGGAGAAAAATTTTGCAATCTATCTACCTGACAAAGGGTTAATATCCAGAATCTACAAGGAATTTAAATTTACAAGAAAAAAAAAAATCCCATCAAAAAGTGGGTGAAGGATATGAACAGACACTTCTCAAAAGAAGAAATTTATGTGGCTGACAAACATATGAAAAAAAGATCATCACTGGTCATTAGAGAAATGCAAATCAAAACCACAATGAGATGACATCTCACGCCAGTTAGGATGGTGATCATTAAAAAGTCAGGAAACAACGGATGCTGGAGAGAATGTGGAGAAATAGGAACGCTTTTACACTGTTGGTGGGAGTGTAAATTAGTTCAACCATTGTGGAAGACAGTGTGGAGATTCCTCAAGGATCTAAAACCAGAAACACCATTTGACTCAGCAATCCCATTACTGGGTATATACCCAAAGGATAAATCATTCTACTATAAAGACATATGCACACATGTGTTCATTGTGGCACTGTTCACAATAGCAAAGACTTGGAACCAATCCAAATGCCCACCAATGATTGACTGGATAAAGAAAATGTGGCACATATACACAATGGGATACTATGCAGCCATAAAAATGAATGAGTTCATGTCCTTTGCAGGGACATGGATGAAGCTGGAAACCATCATTCTCAGCAAACTAACAGAAGAACAGAAAACCAAACACTGCATGTTCTCATTCATAAGTGGGAGTTGAACAATGAGAACACAGGGACACAGGGAGGGGAACATCACACACTGAGGCCTATCGGGGGTGGGGTCTAGGGGAGGGATAGCATTGGAGAAATACCTAATGTAGATGACGGGTTGGTGGGTGCAGCAAACCACTACGGCATGTATATACCTATGTAACAAACCTGCATGTTCTGCACATGTATCCCAGAACTTAAAGTATAATAAAAAATAATTAAGAATGTATGAGAACAAAGAATAAGATGACAGGAAAAATACAGAGAAAATGTAAGATGGGAAATACCTGAGGGAATATGAGTTGGGAAATCAATTGGGCTTTTTGTTTGTTTTTGCCAATGGTTTTACTCATCTTAGTGAGGATGAAAGAAAGATCTGGATCTGTGAATGGGTTTCCAGGTCTGAAGATAGAGAAACAATTTTTGGAATGGCAGCTATGAGGAACATGACCAACAACCATAGCAACTAACTTGCAGGGTATGCTGAGAACCCATAAAACATTACAAGCCATACATTTTTGGAGCACCTAATCAGCTTGACTTTCTCTGGCAATCCGAGAGCAAAAAATATTGAATATTTAGGTTGTGGAACAAAATTAATTCATGATTTAATGGGAAAATATGGCAGCAAGTCGAGAACATTAGGTATTTTAAAGTGTTGTTGAAATGAATGGCAAGAAAAAAGAAATCAGAATCACAGGGATAAGCCATGGTCAGTGACAGAAATGACAAGCAAATGAAGAGTAAGGTAGTTGGAAAAATGGTCAATAAGAAGATTGTAGGCAGAAAGAAATAGTCAAAACTAGGATATAGGGTTACAGAAGTTCCTAGAATTAAAGTAGTCAGAATGAGGTGTTAGACCTTAATTAAAAATATTCTGCATGGGAAGCATTTCAAAAAAATACTTTTCAAATTTCAATCTATCATGTATTTACAGGTCTCTATGTGAAATCTTAAGGTGCTAATTAAAGCCTTTATAAACATTTGCACATAGTAATTTCATAATTATTTGAGGAAATATGGAGAAGCACTTCATCTTTTGAACACTGTTTCTGCAAATGATTGTTACTAATGTGAAGTTATAAAAAGGAAATTTCAGATGTCTTCTCTGTACAATTGACAACAGTCTTTTTTTTTTTTTGGCCAGAAAAGGAGGATGTGATTGGATTATGGACTACAAGATTCCTAAATGTGCCTCATGCTATATATATGATGATTGAAGTAAATTTCTTTACCCTCAGGATTTGGTGATCAACTTGAGGAACAAATAGAAATTAAAGAAATAGAAAAGAACATTTTCTTCTAATATTGTGCTTCTTAGTTGAGAAAATGAACTTTTAAGAGCTATATTATTTTGACTGGAAGAAACAAGAATCTGGCAAAGCAGCAGGTGGTTATCGTTTTGAAACACAAAAATAAACACAAATTCCCATACTTAAAGTTCAAAGAGTTTCTTTGAATTTAGTCCAACTGAGTATCAGTGTCTCTTGAGTATTGGTGTCCATGGGTGAGCTCTGAAATGCTAATACCATGACTGACTTCATTACTCTGGAGCACATAGTCAAAGTCCTAAATTATAGAATAAGAAAATATCTTATGCCTTTTTACCCTATAAAAGACACACTTCTGAAAGCAACATCCACTGGTGAACACCCAGTGGAAACACTGTGGTGATAATGGAACCAAAACATTTCATAATACCAATTCCTATGCACGCTTTACCTCACCTGAGCAGCACAAACTATAGTCCTGAGGTCTCCCCAGAATAATATCTCTATTTTAGATGAATTACAGAATATGCAATGGGCTAAATTGCTCAGGCCAATTTGGTCACATCACTATAGATACATTTATTTCATTAATTTTCTTCTACAATGGAAGATTTTTTTCTCTCCTTTTCTAGAATGCACAGTAAATTCCTCTTCTGACTATAATTAGGAAGTTCTGCAAAATGCTTCATGGTCTTCTATGATAGGTATAAAACAGAAGCAGATGGATCAGGGCCTAAAAATAACACAACACGAGAAGACATCATTCATGCAGAGCACAGTGCTCTGTCCCAGGTGGTGTCATTCACATTATATTCTGTGTTGTGCAACAGAGTGTCTCTGTGGGGAACAGATGACAGATGAGCTTACCAGGTAAGTGTACATGATCAAACATTTGCCATGAGAAACAGGTTGTCTATTCATCATGAAATATAGAAAGAGCAAACACTTACATAACACCAACTTATACCAGGCATTCTTTTAACCCTATGGGAAACATAACATTACTATTTCATTTTACACATGAGGAAACCAAAATAAAGACAGATTACATACCTTTACCCATGGTCATAAAGCTAATAAGCGGTAGAGCCAAGATTTGAAATAAGATAGTCTGCTTTCAGAATCTGGGCTCATCTGTTTATTAGAGATCAGTTTTTTCCCCAAAATAAAAGGAAAATAACAAAAAAGCTTAGAGCGCTTGAGTTCTGCAATGAAAGGTTTAGTACTAGATTTATGATCCAAGCTTGGTTTTCCAAAAGCAAGCACTGGATATATCGTCTGCCAACTTTTAAAAATATAAGACAAAATAAATTGACAGTGGCACCTGAGAGAGCAAATTTAATTATACAGTAATTATTCCTTCCTTCATAATACAATAACATCAAATCTGCACAAAAAATAAAACAACTGAAAGGGTTTCTTCAATGGTAATTACCACAACCTAGTTTTTATTTCCCATCTCTTTCTTTTAAAACTGAAAGAAAAGTATGAGCTTTATTGTGCAATTGGTTTCTTTACTTTTAAACACAAGGATAAAGTTGAAATTAATAAATGATAACATAACAATACATGAAAACCCAGATTTATAGGGAATAAAAAATTATAAAGAGGAAGACAAATACTGGCATACTAATTTTCTATTGACTTCAGTCATATGATTCTGTATTTGGTTTTTTCTTATGTGATAATGTCTAATTAAAGTAAATTTTTCAAGAATATGAGAGACAACTACTCACAGTATTAGAATTTTTATCACATAATTCAGATTTATCAAACACATAAACTCTCTTTCTTGAGTTAAAATAAAGCACTTCTGCTTTAAATGTGCCAGGCAACTGCATAATATAGTTTGTTCTCCAAGATGTATCTTCTGCTTGACAATGTTCATGCATCATTCTCAGATGCTGACAGATAACATGATTGTAAAAATTTTTACAACCAAGCTAGTGAGATATGTCAAGGTTCACATAAAAGAAACTCTGGCAATTGGTAAAAGGCTTCTCAATGAAATGGAACACTCTTCCACCTGAAGTAGCTGTTGTTAAATATTGAGAGATAAAAACATTTGGTTAGAAATTGCTTGGCAAAGTTAAAAGTAGCAATCACATTTTACAATTCAGCTTGGCCCTGCTACTTTAAGATGAATGTCACAAACCAGAATAAAAATATTATCTTCAGAGAACAAGGGTGAAAAGTTCCGTCTTGAAAACTCTTAAGATAAAAAGATGTTTCCCACTTATGAGTAGGTTTAAAGGTGCCAAAAAGCAAATGCATTAAAGAGAACTAAAATTATTCCTATTTCGTTTAGGTTTTCTGGAGTTTGATATAGAAAACTTTAATATAACAAATATTAGAGCCACATTCTTGGCCATTAGATATTAAATATTTAGCCACATGCTGAGGCTACATGCAATTTATTTTGCTATCTCTACGGAATATTGTACAAGAGTGTTGAAAATATTATTACCACTGATATTAATATAGAACTTAATAATTAATGTCTGCAGATACTTTAGGAGTGACATCAGTCTCCAGTTGCAGGGAAGAGTATGTCCTGAGCCTGAAGCTGCGTTCTCTACTCTAAATAGCAAGTCTAGGGCACATCTGAGACAATGTTTCCCATATAAAAGTTGTTGGCATGTATATTAGGAGATGTGTAAAATTTGGTTTTTATACCACCTTGTCTTTTATTGACCTGACAAAATTCATATTATACAAATTGAAAGGGAAATTTTAGTCAAGCCTGAAGAGTAAATTTGAGAAGCAAAAAGACAGAATGTGCATGTATCTGTGTGTGTCTGTGTTTGTGTGTGTGTCTGTGTGTGTCTGTGTGTATGTGTGTGTGTACTTACTCTATTTATTTATTGGTCTAACTAAGCCCAGGAGAATGAAAGATGCATGACTTAATAAAGAAATGTAGTATTAATAAGCACTTTTCCTTAGTCTTTGCACTAGCTGGATTTGAAGGTCAATGTGATTTTACCAAGAAATGTTGCCTATGAGAATGCATGGCAGAGAGCCAAGACTAGCAGCAAAACAGAAACAAAATAGGAAATAAAGGAGTTGGCAGTTTCTGTTCCCTGATTGCTTCTTTTCCCTTTTCTCACCTCTCTACTTAAACCTACCTTCCTGAGTCTTCTGGACCAGGAACCACTTGTTAGGGTTTTGTTCTTTTGTTTTCAAGTAATAAAAAGCCACTGCAGTTATCTCCTCTGGGGGAAAAGGAAGTTGAATATAAGGATGCTCAGTTGAAGAACTGAGGTACTGTGCAAACTCTTCTTTCTCTTTTCATTTGCCTTTCTTCAGCTCCATTTCTGTGTATATCTCTCTTTTCCTCTCTCCACCTCTTCATAGCTTTTCTGCTTCCTTATAATTTCAATTTGCACATAGCTTTGGATAGCCACGGTCCCGATCTATAACATCCCTTCAAAAAGAGAATTCCTTTTTTGTTTTCGATTCAGATTCCCAAGACAAGGAATGTGGTTAGCTCAATTCATTCTTTTATGTCTAGTCTTGATTCATACATATTTGGTCAGTATTATCAAATGAATTCTGTGCCACAAAAACATATGAAGTCCTAACCCCCAATACCTGTGAATGCAACCTTATTTGAAAATAGGATCTTTGCTGATGTAATTGAGTTAAGATGAGGTCATTAGGGTGGACCCTTAATCCATTATGACGGGTATCCTTACAAGAAGCCAGAAATTTAGACACCGGCACAGAGGGAAGATGGCTGTGGGAAGACAGAGGCAGAGACTGGAGTCACACATCCACAAGCCAAAGAATGCTTGGGGAAGATGTAAGGAAGGATTCTCAAAGACTTCCTGCCAGCACCTTACCTGTGTACCTCTAGTCTCCAGAACAGAGAAGAAATATATTTCTGTTGTTTGTCTTAAGCAATGTAGTTTATAGACCTTTCTTATAGCAGTTCTGGAAAACTCATACAGTCACTTTAGTCAATTGTCTAACCCTGATCCAAATATTTGAAAGGTGTCATACATCCAAAATATGACAATTTTGCCCTTTGGCTGAGCTTGCAGGAAGACATTTTCCCTTAGAAATTGTAGGAGTTGGTAGCCTGTGTCTATATCACTTGTCAAGAATGTACCTAATGGCTACTGCTAGTAAAAATCCCAAAAAACTAAAGTAAAGACTAATGTGTTCCTTTTCATCAGAAGTGCATGGTTTATTTCCCACTTTTTGGAAAAGAGGGAAATGTCTAAAGGAAAAAAATCAGTTATTTCTTCTAAAATTAAAACAAATGAAGTTATTTTAAACATGTTTTACCCTCTTACACAAGTTGTCATACTTCTTCTAAGAGAATTTAAATACAGAAAGAATTTTATACTTAACATTGACCATCAGTTGTCATTTCTTAAAATCTTCTGCTCTCATTAGCATCATGAAAGATACTAAAACCTAAAATAAAGTCAATAAAGAAACAAGCATGGGCTGGGCACTGTGGTTCATGCCTGTAATCCCAGCACTTTGGGAGGCCAAAGCGGGCTGATCACGAGGTCAGGAGTTTGCGACCAGCCTGACCAATATGGTGAAACCCCATCTCTACCAAAAATACAAAAATTAGCCAGGCCTGCTGGCGTGCACCTGTAATCCCAGCTACTCAGGAGGCTGAGGCAGGAGAATCACCTGAACCCAGTAGGTGGAGGTTGCAGTGAGCCGAGATCACACCACTGCACTCCAGCCTGGGAAACAGAGCAAGACTCAGTCTCAAAAAAAAAAAAAAAGAAACAGGCATGACGTGCCACCCAACAGATCCCTCTCAGTGCCCTTTATATAAACCAAAGTGGCCATGCAAACCAATGAAGGACCTATTTAGAAGCCCCCCCCAGCTGTTTGCACTTTGGCATACTATGTCAAAACAGGGTTCAGCAAATTGTGGCCTGTGGGATCAATCCAATCCCCCTCCAATTTTTGTAATATTTTATTGTAACACGGCCAAGGCCATTTATTTGCATATTGTCTGTGGCTGCTTTTGTGCCACAACTTGGGACAGAGACTGTACAGCCTCAAAGCCAAAATCCTCTACTATCTGGCTCTTTCTAGGACAATTCCAAAGACCTTTCTGTTCCTTTACTCCACTACGCAAAGCCTCACCTTCTTGATTTCTCTACTTCCATATTGTCTCCCTACTTGGCTCCTTCTCTCCATCCTTAAATCAATGACCTTAAGATGACAGCTGGTTTGGGCTTGATATTTCACATTTGTAATTCAACACCATCCAGGGCACAACTTCTGAATTGGGCCTTCCAGCGTCCCCCCATCAGAACTACAAACCAAAGCCTTCCTGTCACTGCTCCCACAGAGTAGCACGGCTTCCATAAGAAGACACAGCACATTGTGCTCTCTGTTCACGTAAGTCAAATGCCCACCCCTGACACTGATTAGTCTAGCTGCTGGTAACCATGAGAGAGTACTAGCTCTGCATTTGCAAATATTCTTTCCAGAGCCACTGTGGTTACTTCTCCCCATCCCACACAACCATGCTATGATTCCACTGAACTCTTTCCTCTTAATGTGTTTCTCCTTGTATAGACACTAAACTATGTTCGTGGGTCATCCAAATACATCAAATTTTAGCCCCACATCTGTCAGGGGACACAGAGTTCCCTGAAGCCTATCGGTTTGCACTTAGCCTTATCCCTGTGCAGAAAAACAGATTACTTTCCATAAAAGTGGGATGAATTAATGGAGACTGCTGGTTGATCAAGCTGCTGGTGTCCCATCACCCGGAAGCTGGATGGTAAGAAACACACTAACTCTTACAATCCCATTCAAAGAAGTCTTCAAGGAAGTGTTAATTGTGGAATGCCCATGAGATTCTAAGCTTCCCATTGTTTCATTCTCCCACTTTCTTCCCAGTTTTTTTCAACTAAAGTTTTGATCCAAAGATAGAGGCCCAGTTGAACACATTAACATATTCTTAATCTAAACTACATCCAATTGAGTCCATATCAAATTGGCCCCAGTAAGTAGGATCAACCGGGCCAGATGGCTATACATGCATTTGGTGACAGGTCACTCTGCAGGTACCTATCCTCCCAACAGAAACTCTACCTGGAAGGAGGGGCAGATGAGCTGACCCCTGCACTGCAGCCCCACTGCATTTCACCTCTCAGCCATGGGATTAACAAGAGAGGTATCATGCCTCTACTAGAAGGCACTGATGGACTCTGAGGGATTAGGCAACTTAGAGAACCAGGCCCTGGTGCGGGTCTCAGCTGCCTGTCAAGGCCATCTCCCGTGAGTAAACTCTGATGAAAGAATTCCTTCCTCTGGGGAGAATCAACCACCCTCTGGAATCTCCTTACATAGTCCCATAAAAAACAAAGCCAATAGCCTGGGATCATCTGTCACTTACCTCTCAGACTTCCTCAAGGTCTATGCTATATTTCACTAGATAATAATTTTTCCATCAATCACTCCAGAGGTGATCACATGTATACTAAATACAACACCCTACCTTTGAGGAGGTGTTAGACATGGAGCTTGCCCTCAAATCACAAGGCAACCACAACATCTCCTGGTGCCTACAATTCAGTCAAGCCAGGTATTCTTCCCTTTAAAGCCTAAAACCCAAGATTGCAAAGACTTCAAAGAGATGAATGTCATTCAGCTCCACAAGTCATAGATATTCCAGAGCTGGACCTCCACGTTCCTTCATTCTCAGAAGATGATGGGAGGGAGATGTCCTCCCAGATACTCTTAGCAAAGTTTAATGTCTTTCAGTGCTATCTGGCCAGCAGTATGTACTAAAAATCTTTCAGAAATTAATGAAGGGACTGCTGTATTGTTTTCCTGGATGAATACTAACATGACTAGGTAGCATTTTTTTAACCTTACCACACCCTTCTGGTCTGAGATCTTAATTCTCTGTGGCAGCTTTTCATCCAGGTCAAGCCTGAGAAAAGTCTTTCAAGAGCTGCTCTCAGTTCTAAGGGCAGTTGTCTGGAATAAAGACATCCTAGAATTCCTAGATATTTTGGGAGATCATCTAATTCAACATTTTATTTGGCCCAATAAAAGACATGTTTAATAAGCCAAGTAGGCTTGGCTGTATGTTTGATGTTTGTGATGGTCTTGTGGAAACTAAAGAGCTTGTTCCCCCCTTTCCTTAGCATTGCCAACCTAACCCAGTTCAGCTGTTCACTATCAAACTTGAGAACTCAAAAATAGCAGTGTAGATCATTCAATACAGGAAAATAACAGCTCTAATGACCTCTTTCTTTCCCTATTTCTCCAGTGAGTCTCAGCTATAGTCAATTATAGTAGCTAACACATGTGGTTAATTTTTAGTACCTCCAAGGAATGGAGGAATTACCCCAAGAAATACGGTGCCCCTTGAAGATGTGTTAAGACCTTCCTCTGCCACCCAGAGTAATTGAGAAACTTAGAATTTCAGTGTATGCCGGCAGTCACATTTCTCCATTTGTTCACCAGTTTCCATACAAATGTCCTTTCTCAGAAGCAAAAGTAGCATAATAAGGAGGAATGCATTCTGTCAGTAGATCTAGACGCAGAAACCAGTATAGGTATAGGTCTACAGCCCCACAGCAGCTAGATGCACTCTTATGTTACCCCTGAACAAATGCTTAACAACAATGGGACAAATATGAGTGTTTCCCACTCCTATTCAGCATAGTTTTGGAAGTTCTGGCCAGGGCAATCAGGCAGGAGAAAGAAATAAATGGTATTCAATTAGGAAAAGAGGAAGTCAAATTGTCTCCCTGTTTGCATATGACATGACTGTATATCTAGAAAACCCCACCGTCTCAGCCCAAAATCTCCTTAAGCTAATAAGCAACTTCAGCGAAGTCTCAGGATACAAAATCAATGTGCAAAAATCACAAGCATTCTTATACACCAATAACAGACAAACAGAGAGCCAAATCATGAGTGAACTCCCATTCACAATTGCTTCAAAGAGAATAAAATACCTAGGAATCCAACTTACAAGGGAGGTAAAGGACCTCTTCAAGGAGAACTACAAACCACTGCTCAATGAAATAAAAGAGGACACAAATAAATGGAAGAACATTCCATGCTCATGGATAGGAAGAATCAATATCGTGAAAATGGCCATACTGCCCAAGGTAATTTATAGATTCAATGCCATCCCCATCAAGCTACCAATGACTTTCTTCACAGAATTGGAAAAAACTACTTTCAAGTTCATATGGAACCAAAAAAGAGCCTGCATTGCCAAGTCAATCCTAAGCCAAAATAACAAAGTTGGAGGCATCACACTACCTGACTTCAAACTATACTATAGGGCTACAGTAACCAAAACAGCATGGTACTGATACCAAAACAGAAATATAGACTGATACCAAAACAGAAATAGAGCCCTCAGAAATAATACCAATCATCTACAACCATCTGATCTTTGACAAACCTGACAAAAACAAGAAATGGGGAAAGGATTCCCTATTTAATAAATGGTGCTGGGAAAACTGGCTAGCCATATGTAGAAAGCTGAAACTGGATCCCTTCCTTACACCTTATACAAAAATTAATTCAAGATGGATTAAAGACTTACATGTTAGACCTAAAACCATAAAAACCCTAGAAGAAAACCTAGGCAATACCATGCAGGACATATGCACGGCCAACGACTTCATGTTTAAAACACCAAAAGCAATGGCAATAAAAGCCAAAATTGACAAATGGGATCTAATTAAACTAAAGAGCTTCTGCACAGCAAAAGAAACTACCATCAGAGTGAACAGGCAACCTACAACATGGGAGAAAATTTTTGCAATCTACTCATCTGACAAAGGGCTAATATCCAGAATCTACAAAGAACTCAAATTTACAAGAAAAAAAACCTCATCAAAAAGTGGGTGAAGGATATGAACAGACGTTCCTCAAAAGAAGACATTTATGCAGCCAACAGACACATGAAAAAATGCTCATCATCACTGGCCATCAGAGGAATGCAAATCAAAACCACAATGAGATACCATCTCACACCAGTTAGAATGGCGATCATTAAAAAGTCAGGAAACAACAGGTACTGGAGAGGATGTGGAGAAATAGGAACACTTTTACACTGTTGGTGGGACTGTAAACTAGTTCAACCATTGTGGAAGTCAGTGTAGCGATTCCTCAGGGATCTAGAACTAGAAATACCATTTGACCCAGCCATCCCATTACTGGGTATATACCCAAAGGATTATAAATCCTGCTGCTATAAAGACACATGCACATGTATGCTCACTGCAGCACTATTCACAATAGCAAAGACTTGGAACCAACCCAAATGTCCATCAATGATAGACTGGATTAAGAAAATGTGGCACATATACACCATGGAATACTATGCAGCCATTAAAAAGGATGAGTTCACATCCTTGGTAGGGACATGGATGAAGCTGGAAACCATCATTCTCAGCAAACTATCGCAAGGACAAAAAACCAGACACCGCATGTTCTCACTCATAGGTGGGAATTGAACAATGAGAACACTTGGACACAGGAAGGGGAACATCATACACCAGGGCCTGTTGTGGGGTGGGGGAAGGGGGGAGGGATAGCATTGGGAGATATACCTAATGTAAATGAAAAGTTAATGGGTGCAGTACACCAACATGGCACATGTATGCATATGTAACAAACCTGCACGTTGTGTACACATACCCTAGAACTTAAAGTATGATGAAAAATATATATATGTTTCCTGGTGTCTCTAGAGGCAAAAAAGCTGTTACCTGGTTCTACAAGGACAGAACACAATATACTTGGTCACTGTCCACAAAAGACATATGCCTCATGATGCCATCCTGGTTAGTCCTCAGAGCCATTTAAATGGTCCACGAAACTCACAATAACCTTGCACCCACACCAACACATGCTTAAAATGCTACTACCTACAACAATTCATGTGTGAGGTCAAACACACATTAGAAATACTGCCGCACAGTTTCCTGACCTCCCAATGTCCAAATATGCTCCAAGACGCTATGCTAGTAGACTTGACCTATTCCACTAAACCACTTTCGCTTGTACTGGAGGATTCCAGCAGGAGAAAAACAACAGCCCATTTCAGCATGTACCCTTCCAATGGTGGGCTGAATCCAGCTTGTACCAGCTTGCCAGAGTCAAATGCTAAAGTTTCAGAAATTCTGTGAGCCAGTTGACATCACACTGGAAGCTTAAAATCAGCCATCCTGGGAGTATTTACTGAACAAACATTATCAGCAAATACTTCCAAAAAAAAAAGAGTCTCTTTTTCCAGAGAGTGGCTGCTAGACATCTGTCACAACACCACTGACTCTGTTCCACTCCTATTGTCTCAGCCAAAATTTCCTTTTTTAAAAGAGGTATTCCAGCTTGTATAACCGTCTAGCCACTTGAACACCAAGTTCCAGTTTCTTGATGCTTTCAATTTCTGAATCTACCTGTTTATCATCCTCCCTTTGCCACAGAACAAAGAAACAAAGGAAATCAGCTGTTTGACCTCCCAGCAGCAACACCTCTGGTCCACACATCAGGGAATTCATTTCTTATCACTCCGTAATACTTCTATAGCAGCAAGAACTATTATCACTATGATCATTTTGCAATTCAACCCCACCTCCTACAGATCCTCCAAAAGCAGTGATAAAATGTTAAGAGTCATATTAAGTTTAAAAGTGGGCATTTGAAAATGTTTAGTGATAAGTATTTTAATTCCAAACTAAGTCAAAAGGAGCATATGCCCCGAAATAGAGATTAAGACTGATTCCTTTGACAGGCTACTTCTGCAAAGTGCAGAAAAGTAGCTGTGAATGTTGGCCTCCATCCCATTTAATAAGTTGGGGATTGTCTGCTGCTGTTCATGGAAATTTTAGTGTTCACAACTCCACTCTTTAAGATCTATAAGGGGGATTGTTTATCCCTCATGGATTTCAATTTATTTCTCTCTCACAGAAAGGGAAATAAAACTTGCTCTAAATGTAAACCCTTCCAGACTGCAATAATATAAAAGGATAAATCCTTTATTATTTTAATAACTGCACTCCTTTGGTCCTCTCCCATGTGTGTGTGTGTGTGTCTGTGTGTGTGTGTGTGTGTGTGTGTGTGTGTACCTAATGAAACAGAAATAATCATAAAAGGGCTAATTTATGGATAGATTGTTCCTGAAAGATACACATAAAACGCTATTCTTCTAAAAAAAATTATCCTTACTAGCTATCCATAATGTATAAGTTTCTACCATTAAAGAGTTATTCCTTTGGTTTAAGAACTATGTTAAGCTATAAAATTTTAATATGAATCAAATAATCCAAAATTTGAAAAACATATTTTTCATCCTACAATCCTTACTGAGTACCTAGAGTTTATGAGGCCCTGGCCTGCATTAAAGGAACACATATATGAAGCTTAGACTTCATCAACGGAGATCTTCATGAAGAATACATGGTTCCTAATAAAGTGTCTGTGACAGTGGGACCAGGATAAGTTTGTTTCCATGTTGCAAGTTAAGAGGTTAGATAATATGCCCAAGATCACAAAACTAGTAAGTCATAGAGCTAACAGTTAAGCCAAGGTCTAATTTCAAAACTCTAGAGTCTTTTCATTATGTTGCTTAGGGGAATAGAAATTAGGAACTGATATCTGGTAATATGCAACAATCCCAGGAATTATGGTATCCTTGTCCTGAGTGACACATACGCAAGATATTAAAATTTTTTACCTGTTGTTCTGCAAAAATCCTTGACCAGACAAAACATGACCTAAGAATTCCACTGCTTTTTGAAATCCATGTATTAGGGGTTGAAGGAAGGTGATAACCACAGTTTTCATTTAATAATTCTTGCATTAGTTTCCCATGGCTCCTATAAACTGGGTGGCTTAAAACAACAAAAAGTTATTCCCTCACAGTTATGGAGGCAGAAGTCCATAATCAAAGTGTCAGCAGGGCTACACTCTGTCTGGAGGCTCTAGGGAGAATCTGTTCTGTGGCTGTTGCAGCTTCCAGCAGCTACTAGCATTTCGTAGCTTATGGCTGCATCTCTCTCTCTACTCTGTCTTCATATCGCCTTCTCCTCTATGTGTCTGTATTATCTCTTTTTGTCTCTTTTAAGAATATTTGTGATGGCATTTGGGGACCACTCAGATAATGAAAGATAATCTCCCCATCTAAGAATCCTTAACTTAATTGCACCAGCAAAGATTCTTTCTCTAAATAAAGTACCATTTACAAGTCCCAGGTACTGGGATTTAATATCTTTGGGTGGCCAACTGTATTAGTTAATTTTCAGGCTGCTGATAAAGACATACCCGAGACTGGAAAGAAAAAGATGTTTAATGGACTTACAGTTCCATGTGGCTGGGGAGGCCTCACAACCATGGCAGAAGGCAAGAAGGGGCAAGTCACATCTTACATGAATGGAGGCAGGCAAAAAGAGAGAGCTTGTGCAGGGAAACTGCACTGTCAGATCTCGTGAGACTTAATCACTATCATGAAAACAGCACAGGAAAGACCCACCCCCATGATTCAATTACCTCCCACCAGGTTTCTCCTATGACACATGGGAATTGTGGGAGTTACAATTACAAGATGAGATCTGGGTGGGAACACAGCCAAACCATATCACCAACCTACTACAGTGCTATATTTAGTGGAGTCTATTTTTCACTCACATAGAGGAGAACTGGATGTAGTGGTGTTAGGTTATCAATCTATTTTTGCTTGGAGAAAAAGAACAAGACACTACTCTGTTCCTTTTCCTCCCCACGTCCACTGCCTACCATCCCAGGCTAAAATGGACCATGTTTGGAGGAAAGGCAGACTGCTGCTTCATTCTCATGGCTGATTAGTCCCATTATTCCGTTTTCAAAGCACAGCTTAGCAAAGGCTATAAGTAATGCTGCCTTTAGACGTAGGCTACAAGGTCCCCCAACATGGGTCCTGCGCTTTGGAGGCAACCACAATGGTCTGTCTACTGCTGTACCCCTCCCCCTAAGGCAGCCTCCATGGGACAAGAAGGGCCTACCTAGAGCGCATGACCTCCACCTTCCATCCCAAATAGTATTCTGAGGACTGAAATCTTAAAATTCCCTGGCTCAAGTCTTTTCTCCCAAAGGTAGACTATGTTGTGGACACCCCAAGCCCTGAGAAACATCCAAGATGTGGGTAGGTAAGGTATGGATTCACTTGGATAAGCCGTTGGGACCACTTGCACATATGTACTCCAGGCCAGAGCCAGGTATAACAAGCAGAGGTAGGAGATCTATAGACTGGAGTCTGCATTTGTTCTTTGACCTAAGGCCCTGCAAATGACAGAGGCAGCCTTGGCCATGAGAACAGGGGAAGAGGTAAAGCCAGACAATGGCCATTAGCTGCCATTTGGCTTCTCCATGATATGGTAGGAGACAAGAGAATGCTACATAATTAGGAATAGCTAAGTATCTACTCTGCTGATGAGTTCATTTCCAAAAAATGCTGAAATATATAATACTTGTTTTAATATCTATTAATGGCCTTAATAATGTTATTTTTTGGCTCAATAATTTCACTTCCTGGAATTTAGTCTTTGGAAATGTAAGAATTAAAGAAAGAGGAGAGAAACACGAAGGGTGGCTTTACAGTCAACAAGGACAGGTTTATTTTAAATAAAGCTGAGAGGGGCTTCTGGCCAAGCTAGGTCAGAGCCACACTCGCTTACAGACTAAGAGTTTTTAGGGGTTCGGGGTGGGAGAGTTTATCAGAGGCTGGGACTCTCCTTCTGTGTCTCTCTGTTGTGCTTATCTAGAGGGGAGAGTTTTGTGTCTGTTTCCATACTTCTTTCTGCAGCTGCAGGCATATCCCTTGAATCTGCTTTTAGCTTCCCTATCTTAGTGCACCTGAAAGGAAAGGAATGTGCTTATTAAGGCCCACTGTTTTAGTGAGGCCCATTGTATGAGAGGGAAGTTTGGCAGTTATCCAAGAGACTTTCCTCCTATTTCCCTCTGTGCCCAAGCTGTCTTATCTGTGTTTTACTTTCTGCTCTTTCTGTTGGCTTGTAGTTAGAAGAGATTTCCTTGAAATGCATGAGTCTAGAAAGGGAGCTGGAACTTAAAGCGGTGATGTTTGTCCGAGACGACGGTGCTCCTGCTCTGTCAGGAAATATTTCAAAATGTAAAATAAAAATGCTTTATATACAGATTTTCATTCCCTTTTTTTCATTTAAGAAGATAAGAAAAGGTAAACATTCCAAATGTCCAATAGACACATAGCTAAATAAATGGCAGTATGCTGAAATCAAGATAATGGAGTTTATAAAAATAGTGTTTACAAATTGTTTTAATAACATGGAAAATCCATATAGTGTTGATTAAAAAATAAAAGAAATGAGAAACAAAATCGTCTCAACTATGTAAAACTTAATTCTAGCCAAAAAATGACTTCAGGAAATAATAATATGTTAATTGCCCTAAGAAAATAGGCTTCTGTATTTTTATTATAATTTATAATTTAATTAAAAATTGCCTACAATAATATACATTACTTTTACAACCAGATTTTTTAAAAAGCAACACTAAAGGATAAAACACGGAAACCAGTTACACATGGCAGATGGAACATGTATGTTTGTTATTTCCTTCCCCAAACCCCACTAGATGACAGCAGATTTTTTAAAGGGTACAAACCCACAAAGAAAAAGAGAACAGAGAAGAAGACAACGCAAAACTTGGCAAACTACAAAGCTAGTAGATAAGAAGTGACTAACAAGTAGACCTGAGAAAGGTGACCTTACTGCCAGCCGTTGGGGGAAACCAATCTGATCCACAGAAAAGCTCAGGAATTGGGGACACCTCCTGTAACAGAGCAGGATAACAAATGGGGTATAAAAATAAGGGATTGATTGAAAATTGGAACAAAATGCATTGAGAGGCCAGGTAGGTGCAGTGGCTCACACCTGTAATCCCAGCACTTTGGAGGCTGAGGCGGGTGGATCACTTGAGGTCAGGAGTTCAAGACCAGCCTGGCCAACATGGTAAAAACGCATCTCTACTAAAAACACAAAAACTTAGCTGGGCGTGGTGGCAGGTGCCTGTAGTTCCAGCTACTCCAGAGACTGAGGCATGAGAATCACCTGAACACAGGAGGCAGAGCTTGCAGTGAGCCCAGTTTGCGGCACTGCACTCCAGCCTGGGTGACAGGGCGAGACTCCATCTAAAACAAAACAAACCAAAACAAAACAGACAAAAAAAATTGCATTGAGAACCTCAGAAATCTCTCCAAATCCGTAATAAGTCAGAGGTTTACTCTCTGAAAAGACTTAATCAAAAGATTCTGGACTCAACCCTTAGGCAGAGCTGAGGTTGGTGTGCTATATTGAAAATATAGGCAATAAGTAAATGGTGAAATTCCTGCTCACTTCTCCAGAATGCTGGTATAAAAGTTTACACCTTTCAAAGAGTAAACTGACTAAACCAAGGACTTACACATGCTAGCAACTGAGGGTGGGCAGAGGGGACATTTTTGATAGGCTATTCATTGATATGGCTTTTTCATTTATACACAGTAATTGACTAACATTTTATTGCCTCATTCTTTTTTTTTTTTTTCTTTTTTTTTTTTTATTATACTCTAAGTTTTAGGGTACATGTGCACATTGTGCAGGTTAGTTACATATGTATACATGTGCCATGCTGGTGTGCTGCACCCACTAACGTGTCATCTAGCATTAGGTATATCTCCCAATGCTATCCCTCCCCCCTCCCCCGACCCCACCACAGTCCCCAGAGTGTGATATTCCCCTTCCTGTGTCCAAGTGATCTCATTGTTCAATTCCCACCTATGAGTGAGAATATGCGGTGTTTGGTTTTTTGTTCTTGCGATAGTTTACTGAGAATGATGGTTTCCAATTTCATCCATGTTCCTACAAAGGACATGAACTCATCATTTTTTATGGCTGCATAGTATTCCATGGTGTATATGTGCCACATTTTCTTAATCCAGTCTATCATTGTTGGACATTTGGGTTGGTTCCAAGTCTTTGCTATTGTGAATAGTGCCGCAATAAACATACGTGTGCATGTGTCTTTATAGCAGCATGATTTATAGTCCTTTGGGTATATACCCAGTAATGGGATGGCTGGGTCAAATGGTATTTCTAGTTCTAGATCCCTGAGGAATTGCCACACTGACTTCCACAATGGTTGAACTAGTTTACAGTCCCACCAACAGTGTAAAAGTGTTCCTATTTCTCCACATCCTCTCCAGCACCTGTTGTTTCCTGACTTTTTAATGACTGCCATTCTAACTGGTGTGAGATGATATCTCATAGTGGGTTTGATTTGCATTTCTCTGATGGCCAGTGATGATGAGCATTTCCTCATGTGTTTTTTGGCTGCATAAATGTCTTCTTTTGAGAAGTGTCTGTTCATGTCCTTCGCCCACTTTTTGATGGGGTTGTTTGTTTTTTTCTTGTAAATTTGTTTGAATTCATTGTAGATTCTGGATATTAGCCCTTTGTCAGATGAGTAGGTTGCGAAAATTTTCTCCCATGTTGTAGGTTGCCTGTTCACTCTGATGGTAGTTTCTTTTGCTGTGCAGAAGCTCTTTAGTTTAATTAGATCCCATTTGTCAATTTTGGCTTTTGTTGCCATTGCTTTTGGTGTTTTGGACATGAAGTCCTTGCCCATGCCTATGTCCTGAATGGTAATGCCTAGGTTTTCTTCTAGGGTTTTTATGGTTTTAGGTCTAACGTTTAAATCTTTAATCCATCTTGAATTGATTTTTGTATAACGTGTAAGGAAGGGATCCAGTTTCAGCTTTCTACATATGGCTAGCCAGTTTTCCCAGCACCATTTATTAAATAGGGAATCCTTTCCCCATTGCTTGTTTTTCTCAGGTTTGTCAAAGATCAGATAGTTGTAGATATGTGGCATTATTTCTGAGGGCTCTGTTCTGTTCCATTGATCTATATCTCTGTTTTGGTACCAGTACCATGCTGTTTTGGTTACTGTAGCCTTGTAGTATAGTTTGAAGTCAGGTAGTGTGATGCCTCCAGCTTTGTTCTTTTGGCTTAGGATTGACTTGGCGATGCGGACTCTTTTTTGGTTCCATATGAACTTTAAAGTAGTTTTTTCCAATTCTGTGAAGAAAGTCATTGGTAGCTTGATGGGGATGGCATTGAATCTGTAAATTACCTTGGGCAGTATGGCCATTTTCACGATATTGATTCTTCCTACCCATGAGCATGGAATGTTCTTCCATTTGTTTGTGTCCTCTTTTATTTCCTTGAGCAGTGGTTTGTAGTTCTCCTTGAAGAGGTCCTTCACATCCCTTGTAAGTTGGATTCCTAGGTATTTTATTCTCTTTGAAGCAATTGTGAATGGGAGTTCACTCATGATTTGGCTCTCTGTTTGTCTGTTGTTGGTGTATAAGAATGCTTGTGATTTTTGTACATTGATTTTGTATCCTGAGACTTTGCTGAAGTTGCTTATCAGCTTAAGGAGATTTTGGGCTGAGACGATGGGGTTTTCTAGATAAACAATCATGTCGTCTGCAAACAGGGACAATTTGACTTCCTCTTTTCCTAATTGAATACCCTTTATTTCCTTCTCCTGCCTGATTGCCCTGGCCAGAACTTCCAACACTATGTTGAATAGGAGTGGTGAGAGAGGGCATCCCTGTCTTGTGCCAGTTTTCAAAGGGAATGCTTCCAGTTTTTGCCCATTCAGTATGATATTGGCTGTGGGTTTGTCATAGATAGCTCTTATTATTTTGAAATACGTCCCATCAATACCTAATTTATTGAGAGTTTTTAGCATGAAGGGTTGTTGAATTTTGTCAAAGGCTTTTTCTGCATCTATTGAGATAATCATGTGGTTTTTGTCTTTGGCTCTGTTTATATGCTGGATTACATTTATTGATTTGCGTATATTGAACCAGCCTTGCATCCCAGGGATGAAGCCCACTTGATCATGGTGGATAAGCTTTTTGATGTGCTGCTGGATTCGGTTTGCCAGTATTTTATTGAGGATTTTTGCATCAATGTTCATCAAGGATATTGGTCTAAAATTCTCTTTTTTGGTTGTGTCTCTGCCCGGCTTTGGTATCAGAATGATGCTGGCCTCATAAAATGAGTTAGGGAGGATTCCCTCTTTTTCTATTGATTGGAATAGTTTCAGAAGGAATGGTACCAGTTCCTCCTTGTACCTCTGGTAGAATTCGGCTGTGAATCCATCTGGTCCTGGACTCTTTTTGGTTGGTAAACTATTGATTATTGCCACAATTTCAGAGCCTGTTAATTGGTCTATTCAGAGATTGAACTTCTTCCTGGTTTAGTCTTGGGAGAGTGTATGTGTCAAGGAATGTATCCATTTCTTCTAGATTTTCTAGTTTATTTGCATAGAGGTGTTTGTAGTATTCTCTGATGGTAGTTTGTATTTCTGTGGGATCGGTGGTGATATCCCCTTTATCATTTTTTATTGTGTCTATTTGATTCTTCTCTCTTTTTTTCTTTATTAGTCTTGCTAGCGGTCTATCAATTTTGTTGATCCTTTCAAAAAACCAGCTCCTGGATTCATTGATTTTTTGAAGGGTTTTTTGTGTCTCTATTTCCTTCAGTTCTGCTCTGATTTTAGTTATTTCTTGCCTTCTGCTAGCTTTTGAATGTGTTTGCTCTTGCTTTTCTAGTTCTTTTAATTGTGATGTTAGGGTGTCAATTTTGGATCTTTCCTGCTTTCTCTTGTAGGCATTTAGTGCTATAAATTTCCCTCTACACACTGCTTTGAATGCGTCCCAGAGATTCTGGTATGTGGTGTCTTTGTTCTCGTTGGTTTCAAAGAACATCTTTATTTCTGCCTTCATTTCGTTATGTATCCAGTAGTCATTCAGGAGCAGGTTGTTCAGTTTCCATGTAGTTGAGCGGTTTTGAGTGAGATTCTTAATCCTGAGTTCTAGTTTGATTGCACTGTGGTCTGAGAGATAGTTTGTTATAATTTCTGTTCTTTTACATTTGCTGAGGAGAGCTTTACTTCCAACTATGTGGTCAATTTTGGAATAGGTGTGGTGTGGTGCTGAAAAAAATGTATATTCTGTTGATTTGGGGTGGAGAATTCTGTAGATGTCTATTAGGTCTGCTTGGGGCAGAGCTGAGTTCAATTCCTGGGTATCCTTGTTGACTTTCTGTCTCGTTGATCTGTCTAATGTTGACAGTGGGGTGTTAAAGTCTCCCATTATTAATGTGTGGGAGTCTAAGTCTCTTTGTAGGTCACTCAGGACTTGCTTTATGAATCTGGGTGCTCCTGTATTGGGTGCATAAATATTTAGGATAGTTAGCTCCTCTTGTTGAATTGATCCCTTTACCATTATGTAATGGCCTTCTTTGTCTCTTTTGATCTTTGTTGGTTTAAAGTCTGTTTTATCAGAGACTAGGATTGCAACCCCTGCCTTTTTTTGTTTTCCATTGGCTTGGTAGATCTTCCTCCATCCTTTTATTTTGAGCCTATGTGTGTCTCTGCACGTGAGATGGGTTTCCTGAATACAGCACACTGATGGGTCTTGACTCTTTATCCAACTTGCCAGTCTGTGTCTTTTAATTGCAGAATTTAGTCCATTTATATTTAAAGTTAATATTGTTATGTGTGAATTTGATCCTGTCATTATGATGTTAGCTGGTTATTTTGCTCATTAGTTGATGCAGTTTCTTCCTAGTCTCGATGGTCTTTACATTTTGGCATGATTTTGCAGCGGCTGGTACCGGTTGTTCCATGTTTAGCGCTTCCTTCAGGAGCTCTTTTAGGGCAGGCCTGGTGGTGACAAAATCTCTCAGCATTTGCTTGTCTATAAAGTATTTTATTTCTCCTTCACTTATGAAGCTTAGTTTGGCTGGATATGAAATTCTGGGTTGAAAATTCTTTTCTTTAAGAATGTTCAATATTGGCCCCCACTCTCTTCTGGCTTGTAGGGTTTCTGCCGAGAGATCCGCTGTTAGTCTGATGGGCTTTCCTTTGAGGGTAACCCGACCTTTCTCTCTGGCTGCCCTTAACATTTTTTCCTTCAATTCAACTTTGGTGAATCTGACAATTATGTGTCTTGGAGTTGCTCTTCTCGAGGAGTATCTTTGTGGCGTTCTCTGTATTTCCTGAATCTGAACGTTGGCCTGCCTTGCTAGATTGGGGAAGTTCTCCTGGATAATATCCTGCAGAGTGTTTTCCAACTTGGTTCCATTCTCCACGTCACTTTCAGGTACACCAATCAGACGTAGATTTGGTCTTTTCACATAGTCCCATATTTCTTGGAGGCTTTGCTCATTTCTTTTTATTCTTTTTTCTCTAAACTTCCCTTCTCGCTTCATTTCATTCATTTCATCTTCCATTGCTGATACCCTTTCTTCCAGTTGATCGCATCGGCTCCTGAGGCTTCTGCATTCTTCACGTAGTTCTCGAGCCTTGGTTTTCAGCTCCATCAGCTCCTTTAAGCACTTCTCTGTATTGGTTATTCTAGTTATACATTCTTCTAAATTTTTTTCAAAGTTTTCAACTTCTTTGCCTTTGGTTTGAATGTCCTCCCGTAGCTCAGAGTAATTTGATCGTCTGAAGCCTTCTTCTCTCAGCTCGTCAAAATCATTCTCCATCCAGCTTTGTTCTGTTGCTGGTGAGGAACTGCGTTCCTTTGGAGGAGGAGAGGCGCTCTGCGTTTTAGAGTTTCCAGTTTTTCTGTTCTGTTTTTTCCCCATCTTTGTGGTTTTATCTACTTTTGGTCTTTGATGATGGTGATGTACAGATGGGTTTTCGGTGTAGATGTCCTTTCTGGTTGTTAGTTTTCCTTCTAACAGACAGGACCCTCAGCTGCAGGTCTGTTGGAATACCCTGCCGTGTGAGGTGTCAGTGTGCCCCTGCTGGGGGGTGCCTCCCAGTTAGGCTGCTCGGGGGTCAGGGGTCAGGGACCCACTTGAGGAGGCAGTCTGCCCGTTCTCAGATCTCCAGCTGCGTGCTGGGAGAACCACTGCTCTCTTCAAAGCTGTCAGACAGGGACACTTAAGTCTGCAGAGGTTACTGCTGTCTTTTTGTTTGTCTGTGCCCTGCCCCCAGAGGTGGAGCCTACAGAGGCAGGCAGGCCTCCTTGAGCTGTGGTGGGCTCCACCCAGTTCGAGCTTCCCGGCTGCTTTGTTTACCTAAGCAAGCCTGGGCAATGGCGGGCGCCCCTCCCCCAGCCTCGTTGCCGCCTTGCAGTTTGATCTCAGACTGCTGTGCTAGCAATCAGCGAGATTCCGTGGGCGTAGGACCCTCTGAGCCAGGTGTGGGATATCGTCTCGTGGTGCGCCGTTTCTTAAGCCGGTCTGAAAAGCGCAATATTCGGGTGGGAGTGACCCGATTTTCCAGGTGTGTCCGTCACCCCTTTCTTTTACTCGGAAAGGGAACTCCCTAACCCCTTGCGCTTCCCAGGTGAGGCAATGCCTCGCCCTGCTTCAGCTCGCGCACGGTGCGCACACACACTGGCCTGCGCCCACTGTCTGGCACTCCCTAGTGAGATGAACCCGGTACCTCAGATGGAAATGCAGAAATCACCCGTCTTCTGCGTCGCTCACGCTGGGAGCTGTAGACGGGAGCTGTTCCTATTCGGCCATCTTGGCTCCTCCCTCCTATTGCCTCATTCTTAAAACGAATAGAAGCCAACAATTGCAAGACATTTGAGAAAAGTATCTAATGTGAAAGAGAATCTAAGAGATATAGAAAGTAAAAACAAAAACACAAAACTTCAAGGGAAACAGGAACAATGTGGTAAGCAGGTAGGAGCTTTGAATGAGCAATAACTGAAACCCTCAGAGAGGTAATGTAGTAAAACTTAATCCATAAAATAAGAACAGAAGGTTATAAACTTAAGAATGTTGAGAGAAAAAAGGAGATTTGTGAAATTTAAAAATAATGTGATAGCAAAATGAAAATCTCAAAAAAATTTGGAAGCAAAATCACTTTTGCTGGATGAGTGGTAGTAGTGCTCATCCTCAAACCTAACTTTGAGTTCAAGACCAGTGTCCTCTCTGCCTTCTATCAATGCCTGCCCTCAGTATATTTTCACAGATGGTGTCTGTGGTTTGAAGAATTCATCTGTGACATTCTATACCTCTCTTGAAACTGTTATATCAAAGCACTCTAACTTCATCAACAATAAAATTTTATTGTCAGACTCTGCCATTTATCTGGAAATGGAAGAATAGGTTTCGCCTGCCTCCTATTTTTCCTATTTTTCTCATATCATTCTCAAATACCGTTCGTATGATAATTTTATAATACCAATTGCCCAGTGGGTGTTTTTCTCTCTTTTCCGAGGAGGCCCGCACAAAATTGACTCTTGTTTTATAGCCTTTGGAAAGAGTAACTGGAATTCAGAGGAAGTATTGACATATTCCCAGAGGCAATGCACAGCTCCAGTAGAAACTTTTGCTAACACCAGCCAGCTCTATCCAGAGATAAAGACCCATCATGAACCACTCTGTGCTCAGTGCTCTAATCTACACAAGATAATTAATTACCCATTCCTTCAGCACATTTATGTCAGTTCTAGGTGCTGACAACATAGGCTTGTCTCCTTTTATGTGGCCACTTGAAACTTTGACAGCAACCAAAGCTCAGATTTAATCATTTGATTCTGACTGCTTTCTGTACCAAATTGTAATGGGATTCAAGTACAGTGTGACAGTTCAGGGACAATAACACTGCTCATCAATGTCATTCTCACAGCCAGGGGTCTAGCTTTGCAGAAAATTGAAGACTTGGTTTTAAAAAGCTTTTAGACATTTAATTGGGCTGTGCTAAAAGCTTAACTTGTTTTCGTTGTCAGGGTCTGAAATACACTGGGGTTCTAGAAAGGCCAAATATGCGTTTATCAAGATGTCTTCTAGTTATAGTGAATCAGAATTATTACGTAAAACATTAGTTCATTGCAATGGATGTGCTTTAAAACAGCAGGGCAAGTATGCCCTGCTATGAAAAAGTTCAACACCTGAACTTGTAAAACAAATATGCTAGAGGAAGTCATTCATACCACTAAGATGTGTAATTAACTAGAACGTATTTCAAAAATGAAATTCTTTTGTCTACCGAAACCACAGAACCACATACTTTGTAATTTATAAACTGTATGTTTTGGAGCACATAAGTTTACTATTATAAGAGCTACAATACTTATCTGATAGAGTTTGCAAAATATTTTGCCTACATTATCTCATTTGAACCTATTTAAAGCCCTGTGAAAGTGCAGAGTAGCTCTTATTTCCCATGTATAGATGTTGAAATGATTTAGAATAAAACAGGTTTTCTTCAAAGAAATGTTCATCCCTTGCATATACCAATGCTTTTAGCAGCACTTGAAAGCTAGAAATGGAGTGCCTCATTGACTACCTCAAAGTAACTAAACAAATGTTTCCTGAAAAAATTATAATCTGAAGAAAATGTTTGCTTTCAAAATCATACCTTTCTTAAGGGGTTTCAGAGAAAAATGTCTGCAAGACTAACCCACATGGTAGAATACTGATGTAGCAAAAGTACTGCTTCCCTGGCTTTTTGGAAGAGAAGAAAGATCTCTTGATTTATACTCTGGATGCAAGTCATCTCTTGGTTGGAATGTCAGCTTGGCTTGCTTTATCATTTACAATGTCCCTAGCCCAGAATTCACTAGTGTAAACAAATAAGGTAAAATCTAACTAGAGTGGGACAACTTGGCAGATGTCTAGCCTGAATTATTATAATCTGAAGTACTGAAGCTATTAAATAGCTCTCCTATTTTGACTTACATAAAGGAACTTGAAGAATGCCAATAAAATGGCTTCAGTGGAGAAATAAGTAAAATCTATTATTACTAAAGTGTTTCTTATAATGGTTGGCTTTGTATACATAGTTTTGTGACAGTGGTGGCCACATTGTTTAGTAATCATCTGTTTCCACGTATAACCATCTTTACCTTCCACCTCCAGAGAAGGGTCTGGATCTTATTCATCTCTGCACTGCCACAGCCTGTCGGTAAATATATTGTGAGACTTGACAAATGTTTGGTAAGTACGTTAATTAATGAATAAACTGCAGCTGAGTGGTTGCTGGCTGAATCTTGGCAGAGAAAAAAGCACCGGCCTTAGTCAGCAACACTTTGGGATTACTTTCCAACCCACCCAAAGAGTAGTTGTGTGGTCTTAAATTTCTCAATCTTTCTGGGACTCTGTTGTCTCAATTGTAAGAAGAAGGTAATCATGAGTGACAATGCCTACCTTATGGGGTTGCTCTGGCAAGAAAATGGGAGAATGTATGTCAAGTAACAAGAATGTTCAACTAATGGTAGGTAAACATTTTAATTGTGTTTCCTAACACCTTGTAAATACCATAAATATACTTTAATCATAAAAAATTATTAAGATGTCTTAGTCCATTTTGTGCTGCTGTAACAGAATACCACAGACTGGGTGATTTATAAGGAAAATAAATTTATTTCTTACAGTTCTGGAGCTCAGGAAGTCCCAAATCCAGGTGCAAACATCTGAGGAGGGCCTTCTTGCCATGTCATTCCATGGCAGAAGGCAGAAGAGCAACAGAGTATGAGAGAGTAAGAGAGGAAGGGGGCTGAACTTTTCCTTTTACTAGGAAAACACTCCCATCTAATCCACTGTGGCAATAATGGCATCAATCCATTCATCAGGGCAGAGCCCTCATGAGTGAATCATCTCTTAAAAGAACCACATCTCAACACTGTTGCATTGGGAATTAAGTTTTCAATATGTGAACTTTAGGAGACACATTCAAACAATAGCACAAGCTAAACTTCAAACCTCAAAATAGCACAGCCTTGAATTCTCAAATACCAAAACAAAAGACTCTAGCTAAATGTGTCATCCTTTTTGAATATGCAAAAAATCATGAGTAATTAGAAGTACACACTAGCTACTATTAACTGAAAATAACAAAATGAATAGTGTATATAAATCAATATTCATTAAGACATCTCCATAAATATGGACTTGTTGCTTATTAAGTTTCACAGTAAATATTCATTTGACTTCTTTAAAATTAATACATTTGTCCCATTAAATTGTTGAAATTTAAATTCTGGAGTTATTGACAGCAAATTCTACATAGGAAAAGTACAGTTCATGAAATAGCTTGGAAGCCATGTCAATAGCCAATAAAACAATTTAAAGAACAAAAATGTGTGCAAAACCTCAGTGGGAATTCTATATTTCCATCATTGCAGAGGATGAAACTTGGCCTGGTATGATTTCTAATTCCCTGCAAGCCTTTCCACAATGCAAATGTCATGCTGAAAATTTTGGCAATTGCTTTAGGGAAAGGTAAGTTGCCCAGATCACTGGAAAATGTTTTGACATTTCAATCACCCTTCCATCCTGTTTTACAAAAGAAGTTCCAATTAAGCTCAGGGCTTTCATCTTATTTAGTATACTGACCCTGGAAATAAAGGCTGAGAAGTTGAACGCTATTCCTGCTGTGAGAACAAGGCTGAAAGCTCTGCAAGAAAAAGCAAGAACTCTAAGCCATCTCCCAAGAAGATGAGAGTTGATGAAAATTGCTGTTTTTCATGATGTTTATCACCATCTCCCTACAGCACTGTTTTTTCCTTGGCTGTGGCCCAACACAGATGTTCACTTAGGCAGGCAGAACACAGGGAGGAGTCTGATGTTGGAAGGTTCTGGTCATGGTTTTGCTACTAATTTATCACATAACCTTGAATAAACCTCTTTATCTCTTAGACCCTCTGTTTTCTTCTCTGTTAAACTAAGGGGCTGCACCAGATGATTTTCAAAGTTCCTTCTACTTCCAATATACTGTGTGTGTACATTTGTGGTCAGAAGGGAAAGAAGGAAAAGACAGACTACCTGTGTGATGATGTGATTCCCCCAATGCAGCCAACTGCCCCCTGCTTCCAGGGGAAACCCCAGTGTTAGAATAAAATAACCAAAATGTGCTGAGCCTAAGGTGGCAGACTCACAGTTATTCAGCTCCAGAGCCCAATATTTGATTTACTGGCTTATTTGAAATAATACTGGATAAATAAAGGCACTTCTACTTCTTCTCTTGTGCTAATTAGTACTCTTTGCTTGTAGGCAGTAGAAATCACACCAAGGTAGCTTAAGGAAAAGGGAGAACTGGTTATACAAATATAATCTTGACCCAAGAAGGAAGTGGAACTCTGAATCCCTCAGAAACTTAGGCAGTTTTTCTCTTACTGTATTCTGTCTCTGCTCCTTTCTGCATATATCTACTTTCTCCACCTCCTCTCCTCCTTTTCCTCCCTCCACATTTTCTTCCTCTACAACTCTTCCTCCTTCTTCTCTTCCTTGTGTCTTTCTCCTCCTCTTCATCATTCTGATCCTCCATCTCCTTTCCCTCCTCATTCTTCTCTTTCTCTTTCCCCCACTGACAGGCTTTCTCTACTCTCTATCCACCACCACCTCATCTTCATGTGTGACAGTTCCACTTATATGAAGAAATGACCATTCCTGAATCCAATTCCAATGTTCCTAGTCAGAGAAATTGAATGGACCAGGTGTCTATGCCTTGTCCCAATAATTGTGACAAAGAAAAAAAGCATATGAATAAATAATAGTTCTAAAGCCTCAACTGTAAGTCCTAACCTTATTAAGCAATCTGCAGATATAAGCAAACTTCAGTAATCACCTGGTTCTATCTGCCCATTTGAAGTTGATTATATGAATGTTCAAAAGCTCACTGACATTTATGATGTAGCTAATGGCCAAAATTTTTTAAAACCTGTCAAGATTGGTATTTTTAAATAGTGCTGTATAATTAAACAATCACATTCAAAATGGTAAGTCTTCAAACACCTTTCAAGATCTTACTCAATTTAGTTGCTGCCACTTAGATGTCATAATTCAGAATATTGCACTTCAGAGACTACTTCCTCTGGAACTTCTTCATGAAATAATTCATTCCTAATCAACATAAAACACTGTTCTTGAGTTCCCTAATAAGTTATGTTTATAGCATGTATGATATAAAGATTCCATGGTGTCAAGACACTGAGGACAGCTTGAGGAATTGCGAGAAGAGAGAAAGAAATGGCCAGAGATATTTGAGCACTTCTTTCCTAAGGTAGCATCAAATAAATAAGATTACTAGATCCTATGAAAAATTTATAGAGCCTTTCTATGCTTAGCTATCCAGGCATATCAATATGTCTCTATGTAGTCCTTTATTCACTCAACAAGTAGTTATTTGTTGTCTACTCTGCAAAAATAATTGCTATATTCTTTCTTCCACAGGTAATTAGATTGGTCATTTGTTACCCAGAGAAAAATAGTTCTCCACTATGCCCCACTAAGAGTCACTTACGAGTCGTTAAGCATCTACCATAATATATTTTCACAATTTTATAGGACTTTTTATTCCTGAATTTAAAAGCATATGCTGTAAAAAAATTTCAAGTGCTAGAAAAATGAATAAAGCAGAACATAAAAGTCTCCTGTAATCTCAGCCTTTCCTCTGTTATGTTTGCTTTTAAATTCCACCAAATTTTTCATATGCATACACTGATACAAATTGTATGTGCATATCATTCACAAACATAAATCCATATAGCACATATATACATATTTTTATAATAGAATCAAAATGTGCATATAATTCTATAATCTGGTTTGGTTGCTTATTGATATATTATACAATAAATGTTGTTCTTACCCACCTCAATGTTTTAAAAGGCAGCATAGTCCATGATTTGGATATAGCAAATGCCATTCAATCAATCTCCTATTAATATCCATTGTAAGTATTTTCATTTTTTCTATACAAACAATGCTTCTACAAGCACTCTTAGATGTATACCTTTGTGCACTGGAGTCAGCATTCCTAAAGAATGAAATCCTAGAAATGAAATTGCTAAATCAAAGAGTATGTATACTTACCATACAAATAATAATTGTCAAACTGCCTTCCAAAAAGCTTTAACCAAATTATACTTCACCTAGGGTTCACGACAATCGTGTTCCACACTCTGCCCAGCAGTAGGTGTTTAACAAATCATCATTAGCTGGCCAGATTTTAAAAAGGTTATTTTAATGTTTTAATTTTCATTTCTTGGCAAAACACATTTGTCTGTTTATTTGTATTTCTTCTGACACTATTTTTTGCTCATTTTCCATTGAATTGGGTTTTTATATTGATTTTAGTATGCTTTATATATCATTATCATTAACCTTTTGTTGCCTTTCATATGACCTTCCATAGTTTTCACTTGCCCTTCAGCAGGTTTGTGATTTGGAAATCATATCAAAAACAAATTTTTTATGTAGTCAAGTCTATCCTTTTTTTTAATGTTTTCCGGTTTTCATATATTTTTTGCATCTTGCATGCTGCTGTAACAAATTAATACCAACCTAGTAGTTTAAAACAACACAAATTTATTAGCTAACAGTTGCAGAGGTCAGAAGACTTATAATCAAGGTGCCTGTAGGGCTGAGTTCTTTTTGAAGACTCCAGGAAATAATCCATTTCCTTGCCTTTCCAAGCTTCTAGAAGCCACCTGCATTCCTGAGCTCATGGAGCTTTCCTTCATCTTCAAATCCAGCAGTGAGGCCTCCTTTCTCCCTCCTTCTCTTCTTCTCCTTCTCCCTCTCCCACTCTCCTACTTTCCGTTGTTACATCTCTCACTCTGATGGAGGTCCTCCTGCTTCCTTCTCATAAAGACCCTTGTGATTATACTTTATCCACCCAGATAATCAAAAATAATCTTCCCATCCCAACATCCTTAACTTGCTCACATCTGCAAAGTTCCTTTGACAATGTAAGATAACATACCAAAAGGCTTTGGGAAGTAAGATGTGAACATCTTTAAAAGGGGACATTATTTTCTTTACCATTCTTCTCAACCAAAAGATTTAAACATTATTACCCTCATGAGCTTCTACTATTTTGTGATTTTGATTTTTATAATTAGAAAAATATGGACTTGATTTTATTATAGTATATAATTCACTTAAACTTTAAAAAGATAAATAAATTTGACTCTCATATCTCCAGTAACTTTCTTCCTGTTGCTTCCATTTAACCAACAAGCTTGCTAAAGTTCTATAGATGATTGATAGATGGATGATAGACACACAGACACATAGATATATGCAAAGCACTCGTGATCTTGTAGCTCTCTGTAGTTACTGCTCAACTACTCCTTTTTGTGTCACAATTAAGCTTCTCATGGGAACAATCTGCAGCTCTGGAATCAAGTGCTCACCATCTCAAATCATCTCTCACTTAACTTCCCAAGCATCCCGCGGCTTCCAATTTCATTCTCCATCCTCAATGCTGCACTCAGTGTGTTCTTCCCCAAATTCAAACCAATCAAGTCACTTCCTGGCTGAAAACCTATCAAAGCTTCTCTATTACCTGCAAGATGAAATGCAAACTCCATGATGAGGTATACCTGACCTTGCAGGTCTGGGCCAGTGAGGACCTCTCTAGGATTCCCTCTGCCACCCCCCTCTGTACTCTAGCCACACTGAGTAACTTTTAGTTTCACCAATTTTCAATGCCTTCTTTGACCTTCAGGACTCAGATTCTTGTGCTTCTCCACCTAGAATACTCTACCCTTCCCCATACATGCCAGTCAAAGGGCCACCATTTCCCAAGACTCAACTTCCTTTTTGGAGACTTCCCTGACCAACCTCCCTACCTTCAAACCCACATCTCATGGACCAGCCACCCCTTTTCAGTACCTTTCTCATTTTTTTTTTTGAGACTATAGAGACTAGGGAGAAGGTGCAAAGGGTTGGTTGGGGCAGCTTTTATACTTTCTCAAATTTGATTAGCTTTTCCACTTTACACCAATCAAAATTAGCGTGCATTTGCAGAAACCACAAGTTGCTTGCCATACAAATGGTTTCTCAAGATGTTTCGTAGTACCTCTCACTTCCAACAAATTCCTTTCCCTAAACATCTTTATGTCTGTCTGGCATATGGACAGGGAAAGGTACTATTCTACATGTATGAATACAGAAGTGATTGATTACAAAAATTGAATGCTTAAAAGTTGTTGGAAGAGCTGGAGGAAAGGAAGCCAGGGGGTGTCTTGAGAATTATTGGATTCAAGAATATTCTGCTATAGGGCTTAGAAAGACTATGCCACCAATCCAATTGATGCAGCCACCACAACTGTCTTAGGACTCCCACCATGCTGGTGATAGATAGGTTGATTTCAGCTGTTTTAACTCGCTCTCCACATTCACAGTTCTGACCCTTGCTTGCCAGCAGGAGTGGCAAGAAGATGGCCTCTGCCTTTCTTCTGCTTTCCAAGTCTCATGCAAATGCATCTATTTGGCAGAATCCATTTTCCACTGGGAACATTAGCTGCAAGGGAGTCTGGAGAAACTAAATTTTTGCTTTCTAGCTTTTTGCAGCACAAGACAGGACATAGAAAGAGGTGGAAATAGATGTTTGGAGCCAACTGACAACATAAACTTCTCCCTCCTATGCAGAATTTTAGAAACACACTGCTCTGTACACATGTATCTGAGGACCTATAAGATTTTATGGTAGTCATTTGTTTGTCTCCTTTTGCAAGACCTAAGGTTCTCGAGGATGGGGACAGTGTCAGGTTCATCTCTATCTCACAGTGCCTCAATAGTTGTCAGTAAGCAAACTATGAAACAATAAATTAAGAAATGTGCAAAGAGAGCCAGGGTATCTGGTGTGCATAGCCCTTCTTGCCTCACTACACATACACACCTCTTGTCACACTGACTTTTAAAATACATGCACAAAGTAAGAAAAGAAATCAACTAGGAACGCTTTTGCACTGTTGGTGGGAATTTAAATTAGTTCAACCATTGTGACAGACAGTGTGGCAATTCCTCAAGGATCTAGAACCAGAAATACCATTTGACCCAGCAATCCAATTACTGGGTATATACCCAAAGGATTGTAAACCATTCTACTATAAAGACACATACACATGTATGTTTATTGCAGCACTATTCACAATAGCAAAGACTTGGAACCAACCCAAATGCCCATCAATGATAAATCAGATTTAAAAAATGTGGTACAGATATACCATGAAATACTATGCAGCCAGAAAAAGGAATGAAATCATGTCATTTGCAGGGACATGGATGATGTAACAAAGCCATCATCCTCAGAAAACTAATGCAGGAACAGAAAACCAAACACAACATGTTCTTACTCATAAGAGGGAGCTGAACAATGAGAACACATGGAGACAGGATGAGGAACAACACACACCAGAGCCTGTCAGCTGGGGCCAGGGGTGGTGGAAGCAAGCAAGGGAGAGCATCAGGACAAATAGTTAATGCATATGGGGCTTAAAACCTAGATGATGAGTTGGTAGGTGCAGCAAACCAACAAGGCATGTGTATACCTATGTAACAAACCTGCATGTTCTGCAAAAAAAAAAAAAAAAGAAGAAGAAGAAGAAGAAAAGAAAAGAAACCAGCCTATCTTGAGGGCAGGTTTTGGAGTTAGAAAGGTCTACACGTAAGTCCAAGTTCTGTGTGATCTTGGGAAACTTATTCTCTCTGAGCCTCAGTTTCCTTACTTTTTTCTTCAGAGGAGCTTATTATAAATATTGAATGAGGTGGCTGGGCGTGGGGGCTCTCACCTGTAATCCCAGCACTTTGGGAGGCTGAAACGGGAGGATCACGAGGTCAGGAGATCAGACCATCCTGGCTAACACGGTGAAACTCCGTCTCTACTAAAAGTAAAAAAAATTAGTCGGGAGTGGTGGCGGACGCCTGGAGTCCCAGCTACTAGGGAGGCTAAGGCAGAAGGATGGCGTGAACCCAGGAGGCGGAGCTTGCAGTGAGCCAAGATGGCGCCACTGCACTCCAGCCTGGGTGACAGAGCAAGACTCTGTCTCAAAAAAAAAAAAAAAAAAAAAAAAACTTGAATGAGGCAATACATGAAAACGCATAACATGCTGAAAAAAGACTAGGTTTTTGGCTCCTTTTATCCCACTGTCACTGTGTCTTTTTACTCATTTCCTGTGTCTGCAACAGGGAGGATAAAAACTAAGGATAATGTAATATGAAAGACAACACATATAGAACATTGATTTAAATTTTTTTCTGTTATAACTGATAATTACTTTGTCCCTTTAGAGTCTTTTGTCTGAATATTTTAAAGACTATAAAAGCAAGAATTATAATACGTAATTTATAACAACAGTAGCTAAAGTTTAGGGGTTTCATGATTTGTAAGTTTCCCTGTGATCCTCATAAAACCAGCAACCTGTTAGGTTTTTTGTTGTTGTTGTTGTTGTTGTTGTTTTGCTTTTTTGCTTTTTCCTGTCTGTTTAAATTGTGGCTAAGAGCTAATTATATGCAATGACCCTTTTAAATATGAATTGTTGGCTAGTGATCTGACCAAAATTACATGTTTAAGGACAGATAAAGGTAAGAATTGAGGAAACTGGAGCCAAGCTATCCACCATTTCTGTTTCTAATCTAACACGATTTAGGGATTACTCTTGCATCTTATTATATAGTCTATTTTTCTTCAGATTCCTCAAGCTTCACTTCCCACCACTAGTCGGCTTTGGGACTGGGTTGAGTAAGTCTAAATCTCTGGCGTGGCAGGGGTTGTTTTTTGTTTTTTATTTTTGAGACAGGATCTGGCTCTGTCACTCAGGTTGGAGTGCACGGGCATAATCTTGGCTCACTGCAACCTCCACCTTCCAGGTTCAAGCCATCCTCCCACGTCAGCCTCTCAAGTAGCTGGGACTACAGGCATGCACTACCATGCCTGGCTAATTTTTGTATTTATTGTCTCAAAGTCTAGTCTCAAAGGCTAGTCTCAAATTTCTGAGCTCAAGCAATCCGCCTGCCTCAGCCTCTCAAAATGCTGGCCACCACGCTGGGCTAAATCTCATCTCTACATTGATTGAACTGGGTAAGCTCGATTCCAACTCCATGGTTCTGTGAGTTTCCATGTACAAATGGAGGCCTCTGGACACTGAGGGACCAACCGCACTGTTCACCAGTAACACAAAAGAAGTCAAAAACATAGTCTTTTTACCTTCCTTTCTGAGTGGAGGTAGCTGCACAGTGAAGGGCAAATCACTATTTGACCTTGCCAGGGCTAGGGAAAAGCAGCCATAGGGTTGAGGGTTGAGAGTTGCATGCAGGGGCCAAATGGCAAAGGAGGAAGCTGAGAAGGCAGCTTATAGCCAAGATGCTTAATGCTCCAGATGCACTCCTGGCTTGGCAAAGACCAAATAAACACGCTTGAGCTGTTGATGGTTCTGTTTACTGTGCAATCTAAGGTTCTTTAGGCTAATGAAATGCCAAATAGTTGAAATGGTGTTTTTATGCAGGAGGCTTCTGTGTAATGACTTGGTTCTTTCTATGGGTACATCTAAACTATGTAGGAATGCAAAGAGCTAAAGACAAAATATTGCTTCGTCAATATGCATGTATAACGAAAAGTTAGGAGTCTTTTCTTAAGGTAAGAAAGAAACACCTCAAGAAATAATCAATTGATTTGGAGGAAAAACTGATAAGCAAGAGTCTAAAAGGGATTCACTGGGCTGTGCTGATGATTCAGAAATAAACAAATGATGACTGGTGGAGCTTGGGGCAAGAGGTCCCACTGTGAAGAGACTGTGTAGATTGAAGTCATTCACCCAGCAGTCCAGGCCATTGCTAACACCCAGGAGCACAATGGATACAGAGTTAGAGCTTATAAACCACTCAGTCTCTACTCATGTGAGAGATGTCTGAACCAAAAGAAAAAAAGAAAAAAAAAGAAAACCCAGCTATACCAGCTGTCCTCCCCGCTGTTGTTCAGTGAGGATCTACTTTTGACAGCAGCTAGCATTGTTCACTGGCTATTGACAGCCAGCATAAGTGACATCCATTGAAGCCCCGTGGCTTTGCTTTGTCTCTATCAAACTCACTTCTATATAAAAATCCCTTTGTCCCAAATAACTCCTAAACTCCAGAGCTGTATGAACACGGGAAGCAAAAGGCTGATAAAGGGGTAGGGAGTACAGCAGAACCCCTCTCCATATCTGTAATTAGCTGAAGCTAAACACGTATAGCCTGAGATCTATCCCAGAGGTAAATGTGTGTGTAAAAATGAGAGAGTTTTCATTCTCCTGCAGATACAATAGAGGATCTCAGAGTTCCAAGATAGCCCTAAGATTGAAGATGTTTCCATACCATCTTCATCATTATTTATAATGCCTACTGGGCCCCTTGTGAAGAAAGTCCAGAGAGTTGTCATTTGAAAAGATAGAGCATAATGGGGTAGCCTTTCAATTGGGCTTTGTGGGAAATTAATTTTGTATGGGAAGATACACATTTGATTGACCATCCAGTATTGATTCTACCACTTCTCATTGTTCATCATGAAAGGGGATTGACTCCATTCCAGGATGGACACTAAGTAGTCCATGCCAATCACGGAAATTTCTTTACCCACATAAGCATCAAGAAACCAGGCATAGACCAACAGCTCATGGCATCTCCCAGGAAACAGACATCAGTTCAGGAGTAAGCATGTGATTCAAATCAGGTCAATAAGACATCAGGGGACAATTCCAGAGGCTTCTCTGTAGTAAGCATCACAGAAAGAAATGCTTTCTCTCTCTTCTGCCAGAATGGTTGAGAAAGCCAGTAGCTTCATTTGTTACTGGCAGCATTTTTATTATTTTCAGGGGTCTGGCTTTAGTATGAAGTTTACAATGTGAATGGCAGACAAAGAGATGGAAAAAAAAACTAAATCCTTTTTGACATCTTTGAGTTACTGGATGAACCAATCCTGGTCCCTTTCCTGCCTCCACTAAGAGAGACTATATATTTCCTCTGTGTTTTATCCAGTTAAATCAGGTTTCTGTTACTTATGTACAAAAGCAACCTAATTAACACATATGGCTATGATGCTAGTTGAAGGGAATATTGTATTTTGTGGCTCTGTGGACCAAACCACTTCTTATACATAGAGTCAATTTTCACCAAAAAATGAATCCTGTTCTGGCATTCTTCCAGGGCAAAGGCTTATCCTCAGATTAAAAGTTAGAAAGAATTAGATGACCTCAGGAGAGGAGCAGAGTGAAAATATCTTTCCTAACCTTGTGAATAAAGGCATTTTCTAGAAACAAGAACTGAGATGCAATTGGAAAGCTAGGAAATGAGAAACCTGTCTAAGATGCTCTTTTAGGAGTGAAAATCAGGATAATATTACAAGAAAATGCTAATACTGTACATACAGATTGTAATATTCTGTCCATAACATCTGTATTTTATAGATGCTTGTTTACCTTCAGCATTTGAAATTGTTTTTGAAAGGTTTAGCATACCTCTGCTGTACTGTGAGAAAACCAAGAGTATATGCGTCATGGTAATAGAAACGAAAGTGAGAGGGCTCTAATAATACAAAGAAAAGTTAGGGCACATGATGCTGAATCCTTCTCTTTGGAGATTATACTACCCAGGCTCAACCTAGGTTTTATTCTGATGATATCATATTCCTTACATTGTAGTTTCCTTTTGGCTATGTTGTATTAAAATGGACAAAACTCAACATCTAGATGGCCTGAGTGGTCACACTGGTGACATATCCATTGCCCCTGGATGGTGTGCCCTCACCTCAGGGATGCCTAGGTTAGCAGAGTCGCTGTCCAGAGTGCTTATGAAACCTCAGGCACCATCAATCCCCAGCCTGCAGTGTGGACCTACTTCCTTCCATGTAACACTTGCAGCTTGAAAACTGAAGTTTCTCTGAATCAGTACCAGCCCTATTTATAGATATTAAGACCCTGCCCATTCATTTTGGAGGATCTTGCAGATTCTCATTTCAACAGAAAATCAATATATGGAAAGTAATTTGTGTATCAGCACAATCAGCAATGCACAAAAGCAGAGACAAGGAAAGTAAGCATTTTTTTCTTTTTTACTCTTTGGAGTAAAAAATAAGTTATGGCAATTTTTTCTCTCTGAATATCTCAGAAAAAAGAAAATACAGTTTTAGTGTGTCAACCTTTACTGGCTGATTGTAGGTCCCTTTGACTTTAATCACCTTTTAATATGTTATATATATGCACCAAGCTAACTTGCTAAAAAGGCTTTCAAACCATTTCATTGGGAACACAACCAAGTTCCTGAAAGAAAACAAACCTAAGAAACAAAATATCAAACAAATTTATAACAATGTAATTAACATTTTAAAATTTGGTTGGGTGTTTCTGCATATCCCCAAGCAATTGCACATATCAGCTGCTTCTTGTGCCATTTTAACTCAGAGTGACAAAAATATTTTTGAATTCTAATAGACAACATTAGCTTTCTGTTTTGCTTTTGCAATTTATTTGAATCCCAGATATGTGCTTTATTTTTTATAATTATGATATGGTATAAAATCTTCATTCTGTGCCCTGGAGTTTTAGTCCGTGGTTATTTTTGTTGTTATTTTGAAGTTAGAAGTCAGTCACGCAAGAGAGACACAGCGGCACCCCCCTTTGAAAATCTCAACTATGTACTGTATTTTAACATTATCAATATCATTTTTTTGACTTAAAAAAATAGAAAGTCCAAAGTATCAAAAAGAATTTCTTAGTTATGCACCACATGACATCCCTTTATTTTAAAATAGAAAGCCAATCTTTGGAGCAGGAATTTGTAGTTATATTGGATCTATGCTTCTGGTTATTGTTACTTTCATTATTCCTCAGTAATTTGGTTCATAGGGCAGTAAAATATAGGACACTATGAGACTCATTTTCAGCACAGCAAGCAGTTATAGGGTTTCACCATTCAACTTGCAACAGTCTTACTGTGCAATGAGAAATACATTTCCCCCACGATGATGAAATTGATGCAAGTAGGACCACACTCAGGAGACAGTAATACTGAAATAGGTAGGCTGGAGCATCTGTGGTTAGGTAGGTAATACAAAAAAAGAAAAAAGAATAAGGATCTCACAGAGGTCAGTTAATTTGAACAGTGGGGACCATCTAAGTGTGATCATTTAAATCCTAGAGTTAAAAAAAATCTAGTTCTTATTGATCAAATTAATCATATAATGTTAGATGTTGTTTTCAACTGCAGGCAGCTCTGAGTAAGGTGCGTATGATGTAATTCAGATATCTGGTTTTTTTCTGACTTAATGTGCTAAGACGATTTGTGTAGAGTGGAGGCGGTAGTTTACTTCCCTAATACTTCTAAAGCCATTATGACAATTAACAAATTCAGCCAACAGTCATTGGTCACAACGCATTCCTTGAGGAAGGTACAAAGTTGAGATAGGATTCACACATCTACTCATTACTCCACAAACATGTAGTGGGACCCTGCTATGTTAAGGCACTGTGCTAGGAATTGAGGTAATCACAGGAGGAGGCCGCCATTGAGCCTGCCGTCCTCTGGTTGACACCCGAAGAAGGAATGACATAAACCAGGTGGCTGATCCTATTTCTATATGGCCTTGTACAGTGATTACAGCACTGCCTTCAGAGGCAGACAGACCTAGATCACAACCCAGGCTCAAATCTCAGATTCTTAACTCTCACTTGCCTTTGGGAAAATCGTTTCTCTGAGCCTTAGTTCTTTCATCTGTAAAAGGTCAATACTAGCACCTACCTTGCAGATATTTTTAGGATTGAGATAATCTCTGTAAAATGCCAAAGCAGATGCACAAATGAAAATTCTTATTTAGATGACGATAAGTTTTAAATGGGCAAGGAAACCAATCAGTAGCCCTTTAATCAGGTAACATTGACCACACTCTTCTATATCTGACTTGAAAGATGTCAAAAATATCCTGGTGACAACCACCAGTGGGGCTATATCCTGTCTTGAAGCTCACTTCTTTTGAATTAAGACCTTGTGTTCTGTTAAAAGAACATGCATAGACATTTTCAGTCATTAAACATCTTAATATGAATTACTTCATTGTGTCCTACATGGAGGGCCCAGGTGACAAGGTTTTCAACTGTGGGCAGGAGAAAGGGTAGGTCCAGAGAATACTGCATTGTTATCATGAATATATCAGATCTTCAGTCAGGAGTATGAAGACCCAGAAAAGAAGGGTAAGGAAGGGAAAAAGGGAAGAAGAGATAGCAGTAAGAGGGAAGATGGGCATTTTAAAAATAACTAACGCTGACCAAAAAAACTATTCTAAAAATCTTACACACGTCTCACATGGTACTTTCGCTATTCTTATTAGGTAAGTACTACTCATGCTCCCAGTTTACAGCTGAGGCATCTGAAACAAAGAGAAACTAAATAACTTCCCCCAAGATGCACAGGTAATGTTACTGGCAAAGCCAAGAGGCACACAAAGGCAGCCTGACTTTAGAACCCTCTTCAGCATGGTCCTGCGCAGGTGCCTTTAGCTCTTTAGCCACATTACTAGATTGGACTTTATGACATTTAGCCAAGATTCTCAAAGTCCTTTGTATTGTAAGTCTACCCTGAGTCGATGAGAAGGCCCATTTTTACATCAGGAACTTCATGAGACCGCAACACAAAGGGCAGTAGAGGAGAAATAAAAGCAAGGGATTCTGTGTCCTAGCACTTTTATGGAGAATGTCTAAAGTGAGTACAGTATGTGCCAACACCTGGGAAAAGCATTTTGGAAGCTCTTTATTAGGAAGAAACCATTGTTTACTTTTAAGCACAGCTGTTAGAATGTAGTAAACAGTGTTCTTTTGAGACATGGCCAGATATTGCTACTTAACAAAACAGGGCTCCCAAATCCATTTACTTGGTAATAAATGGAGACAGAACACTGCAACCTACCAATTTACTTTCTGGCAGGAAGTACAGCTTGTGGTTGTATTTGAGGTTGGAAGCCCAAATTTCGGCAGAAATTTCCATGATGCAGAAATCTGGAGACATGAGTAGGGAGGTGGAGGTGCAGGGAGCATGTAGAATTTCTTATTTAAGCACAAGGGTAGCTTATGCTATGGGAACTGCATTTTTTTCTCCCTATTATTTTAGTTCTTTGGGGCTTGAGTTAAAAGTAAAATGAATTCCTCATCCTGGAGACCAATATGTCATTTATAATTTCTGGCTTCAGCTTGGGACCATTTGTCAGTCTTATAACCAGTAATGTTTCTTTTTGCCTTCTAATAAACTTGAACTGGCAGAGATAGAATGTTAGCTTCCCTACAGAGGAGGACTGAAGAATGAAAGATAGGAATCAAAGAACAAAAGGGGCCTTTGCATCCCAAGAGACCAATGTTGCCTTTTAATTTTCATTAGCGTTCTGATGGTGGAGGAGGGCATGGATTCAGGAAAATGAATGAGGAAACTAGCACTTCCAAAATGACTTCCAGGCCTATTAAAACATCAAAGCCAAAATACTGTTTCAGAAATAAACTCCAGATGACAGTTTAAAAGAAGACATACCAAAAAATGTTTTTCTTCATATTCACAAAACCTAAGCTCCCATCTTCATAGTGTTCTATGTTTGTACGTATTGAATAGCTTGTAATCATGTCAAATACAAGCATGTGACATTCATATAGAGACAGACAATCTAAAACACAATTCTTAATCATTCGGTATCACTCTAGTCTTTCCCAATATGGACAGGGTAAAAGTTGAACTTTTGTCATGCAAATTAAAATAGAGGAAGAACACTTCTACAAGACAATTCTTTTCGGAAGTTTTTATTGTGACAAAAATGTTCCCAACCACTGGAATATAAAAGGCACACAAACACATACAAGCATGAAATGAGCTAAGAACATATAGTAGTGAAGAAATCTGCTTGCAGAAAAACACATACTTTTGTTTATAATGAAGACTTTCATTTTTTAGAGCAGTTTTAGGCTCATAGCCAAATTGAAAGTACAGAGATTTCCCATATCTCAGCTGTTCCCACATATGCGTAGCTTCCCCCATTATCAACATCCCCACCAGGGTGCTACATTTGTTACAACTGATGAACCTACATTGACACATCATCATCACCTAAAGTCCACAGTTTGCATTAGGGTTCATTCTTGGTGTTGTACAATTTATGGGTCTGGACAAATGTATCCACCATTATAGCATCAAACAGGGTAGTTTCACAGTCCTAAAAATCCCCTCTGCTCCCTATTCACCTATTTTTAAGTATATAGCTCTGTGTGAATCACTTTCAAATAAAAGTGATTCAGTAAGAATCAAGCCTGATTTTAAATAACTTTTTAGTGCATAGTAAGGTTGGTATGAAATTGGATATGCAGTTTTGAGCTCTTTGTGACCTTGTGGGTGCTTTCCTGAAGTTTTTACATTAGAAACTCCAGTCCATTCAAACATCTGAATATTGGTAGAGACTTTGATATTCAAAGTCAGCTGATGCTTTCACAAGAATGGGGGACACATGCACCTTCTCTGCTAATATTCCCTTGAGAGCAAAACTGAAGTTGAATCCTCTCCAAGGATGCAGTTATGCCATCTGCAGCTGCCAATGGGAGGTGTCCACAGAGATCCCTTATTCTAAGGTCTGTATGGAACTAGAAACTGCATGTGCCAAGTTGTCAGGGACACTACTCATATGAAATATCTGGTGTTATTGTCCCAGATAGACAGTTCCCAGACCATGTGTACTGATTTTTCATGCAGAAAATATGGTCACCATATGTTCAGATTTCTGTTTTACTAGTTCTATTTCCTTTCCTCTCCCTTTCTTTAGCAGTTTATGGTTTCTTTTCCTTGACAAATTGCCAAGTCTTAATTTAGAAAACAGACTAAGTGTAAAATAACCATAGTGAAGAAACCAAAACAAAGAGAAAATAAAGCAAAAAGAAATAATACATCAAAATATTTTCCATAACAGAGGTATGATCTGTCTTCCACCTTCATGACGTAAGCCCCTAAAGCATTCAAGGGCAGCAAAAACCACTCAGAGGGCACCAACCTATGACGTCTACTTTTTTTTGTCTGTTTGGTGAGGTGGAGAGACTTGTTCAATTTTCTAGCAAGTCAGCTTCCTTAAAAAATAAAATAAAATAAAGTAACATGCAAAGAACTGATAGGTTGAGCATTTTCAGAAAACACATTTTCTTACTCCAGTTCAACCAAAATAAAAAGCAACAATCTTGAAGTAGAAAAGCCCAGGAAACTTTCAAATCTTGCCCAGTATCTAAGTGTCTAAAGAGGATTTCACAGGACCGTTCCCCTGGGTCATTCCTTTTTCCTTTGTCTCAGCCAAGTAGGAGGAAAAGAAAATCTCTCCCTTCCTGTCTAGCTTATATGATTTGTCCTCCTATTTAATGAATAAAAAGGAAAGAGAAACCAGAGCGTCCCCTGACCAGGTTCTTTCCCCCCTTCCCTTGTTCAAATCCCCAGATACTTATGGCTCTCCCCAGACTGCACTGTTACATCTGACACCTGCAAAATCTGCGCCGTACCCTCAGCTGGAGGCCTCTGCTAAGGTCAAGCCATGGACCTCATTGAAGAGTATAGATTCTCTGTTCAAGATAAAGTTCTTGCCTATTCTGACTCAATAAAACTTCATTGATTTGCCTAAATCCCACCTCCCTAAATTGAGGAAAGGCTTGGTCTTATAATAAGAGGAAATGGAGCACTTCTCATATCCCAAAAATTTGTCTCCTTGTCCCTAGCTTACCAATAATATTAACCTACCTAAGCGTGTGTGCCTGAAAGGAGATGGCCAGGATGAAGGTATGGAACAGAAGTCAAAAGGAGCCTCTGGCAGGTGTGTTTGACATGGTGCAGGAGAGGTGGGTGCTGTTCACCAGACTGTTTCAGAGGAAGTGGCAACTCATCAGCTCTTGTAGGGAAGGGAGTCACAGGGAATCACCCTCCTCACTTCCAGCCTACCTTCTTCTATCCTTCCTCTCTCTTCAGACTCACGAGGTACTCTGGTGACTGGACTGGCTTCCCAAGAATCACCAGAAAGGAATGCCTTCCTCCCAGAGCTTTAATTTCTGCTTCTAGTTTCCATGACTGACCGATGGTGTTGTGACTGGTGTCAGTTCATCTCTGAGATCGTGATGTGTCTAGAAGTACTGATAATGCTGAGGTCTTGGAGCTGTGGGAATGAAAACTGAATATCCTGTCTCACTTAAATATATTTACCAAGGTTAGGTGGCCTTAAAGACAAGAAGCCTATTGATGAAAAGCCAATGACACGTTGGCCTCTCAGAACAAACACTTCCCTTCAAAGGTCACCAAATAACACCAAATATAAACTTTAACTAATCAACCTCTTCCAATCCCTTCTTTCCTTGCTTTATCCTTTAACTCTCCAGGTTACTCACCATTCCACTAACATGCCAAGAACATGCACATCCCTACCCCTTTCTAAAACTGTTACTGCTCTCTAGAATTCCTTATGACTGACAGTCTCCAGGAAGTAATGGGGAACAGAACTTTTGAGGAGAGCTTCCATAATGCCTAGTCCAAATGGGTGGAAGGAAGGTGGTACCATTAAGTGAAGTGAGATATAGACAGGGTGAGGGGCAGATCTGGGAGGCAGCAAAGCATGGTGGGGATAATTGGTTCAGGGCCCTGTGGTCTTTAAAGTATCTATGAAATATTTCAGAAAAGATATATGCAGCAAATAGCCCAGGCAGAGGTTGGAAATGGTGACTGATACATGAGAACCATTAAAATAAAGCTGTGATTGATGAAAAGATTTCCAAAGGAATAAGAGTAGAAAAAAATAAATAAGAATGAGGACAGAGGCTTAACATACAAAAATAGGGCACAAAAATGTAAGCAGCATAACAAAATCCACTCAAGAAAACAGACAAACAGGAGAACCAGACTTCCCAGTCACAGAAGCCAATGGGGTATCCAAAAAGTAGAATCAACAGTTTGAAGAAATACCAAGACCGTAAGCAACAGAAGAACTGAAAAAAAATTACTAGACAGGAGAATTTAGAGATAGAGGAAAACTTGAGTAGGATGCAGCATAGTTAACTGTGGAGCAGAACTGCCTGGGTTTGCATCCTGCCACATCCTTGCTAGCTGTGCCAACCTGGGCCAGTTCTTTACTCTACCTCTGCCTTAGTGCCTCATCTGTAAAATGGAGATTATGATAGTGCCTATTTCAGAGAGTTGGCATGAGGATCCTGTGAGTTACCATATTTAAAGTACTGATACCACCACCTGACACAAGCTCTATGTGACTATTTGCTGCTATTATTTAATATTATGACATTTCAAGGAACCACAATATATATTGTGGTTATATATATTATACTCTAAAAAGAGTTTCAATAAACTGAAGGAAAGAGATAGAGCACTATCTTTAATAGGAAGATAAGCACAGCCATTTTTCCTTTTGACTTTCTCCCACATCAATACTAAGTGTGGGAGGAAGAAATATCAAATTCAGGGATAGTTGCAGCATAAATACTAGTAACACTGAAACCACAGCTCTTGTCAGATACTGGAAAACTTCAAAGTCCTTACAGATACTTCTACTGTATCTGAAAACATGGAGTAAACATCCATCTGTCTGATGGTACATTAGATACCATCAGGTACATTTTTTTAATGTACTTAAAGTACTTTTTAAAAATTTCTTCCAACTCTGTGATTATGTAATTTGGTAAATCAAGTATCTATCAATTTTAATCTTTAACTTCATCATCCATAACATGGCTTTCAGAAGTAAATATTGCATCAAAATAAACTTATGAAGTAATTTACTCTTTCCAAGGAAACATTACAGAATAATCTACACACCACATGTCATTACTTTAAGAACAAATTATGCTTCCCCAGATAATTTTGCTTTAACTCTGGCCATCAATCACCTTATAATTAGTAAAGAAAGTGGTTCTTCTCCCTAATTATGTAAATTCTTTCATCTATAAATAAAAAGTAGAAAATAAAGGAAGGATTTATTATAAGGAATATAAGGTACTTTTTTAAATTAAAAAATGAGTGTAGTTTTTAGTTTTCTCAGCATTTAGGATCATTCTGTTGGTATGGTATTCCACTGTATTCTTATTTCATAGCCTCACAAAGCTTCCATTCACATCAAAAGTATGCTCAAGACCCTAATCTTGACCATGAAAGTTCTCTTTGTCTTTACGATTACAGCTGGTAGAGCTTAGCTGGCCATCTGTTACCAATTATTCTATTTAGCATCATAGACTATATTGGCCTCCTCCACAAAGCCTTTCAAGCAAGGTTTAGTTGGAAATTTTTGTTTCTCCTTTCATTTTGAAGGAAAAAACTAAGTTAACAGAAGTTTTTTTTTTTTGCAAGACAATTAATAAATTATATTTAGAAAGTAAAACAACCAGGACTGTCACAAACAAGTTACCAATTGAACACCGCATTCCAGTTTGTGCCCAGTTAGGTGTGCTAGGTACTGCAAAGTTGTGGTTTGCCAATTTTTCTATGTCATGCTCCACCTGCCATCCTATCAAACAATCTTAGTGTCTCCATGGCTTTCTTTTTAAAGTACATGTTTGGACTTCTAAAAATTTGTGTCAAATTTTAATAACTTAAATAAGTTGAGCAGTAGATGAATCTGCTGTTTGATAACCTCTAATGTAAGGAAAATAAAAACTGTAAGAGTGAAGTCCCTGTTTGTAAGAATATAGGCTTAACTTGGGAAGGAAAACTAACAAAGATGGAATGATTAGATTATCAGCAAAGTATGAAGCAGTGGGAAACTGTCCATAAATGCAATGAGAGTGGAAAAAAGGGAGGTCAACCATGAGCAGAAGTAAACATTCACCTTATTGGAAAGGAATTAAGGATGAGAAGAAGGGCTTTCTATGGTAGGAAAACAACTTGAGAGGAAAATCCCGGCAATATTTTTGCCAAGAGAGGGCCCAAACAGGAGCCTCGGAAGATTTCCAGGAACTAGTTCAAGCAACATCCTTTAAATGGGTCACTTTCAGTCCACAAACTTCTTTTCGTCTAGAACAGTAGAGTTTAATTTACAATTTGGTATGTCATGTCATTTTATAGCTCTACCAAATTTATAAATTAAACAAGACATTTCTCATATGGGCAACCTAAAAAAAGAAAACTTAAAAACGTTTGTCCTCCTTAAAAGGAAATCCAGGTTCTTTCGTTGTTCATTATGTACGATTGCAGTCTATTTTCAAAAAATGTTTATGCTTCAGGTTTTATTTTCCTGGCATTATGCTGCACGTAATACCAAGCCCTGCATGGCTTCAAGGAAAAGCTGCTTCACAGCCTCCCTGGCCAGGGGTAAGAGAAGATTCTGCCTGCATAGTCTGGTCTGGGAAGCAGCCTGACTCTGGCTATGTTTACTGGCCACAGAACTCAAAGGGCATATACTTTCTAAGAGACTGCTGATGCTCCCTGCAGGTTGTTTAATTCTACTCAGAAGCTGACTTTAAATGACCTAGGTGGTAAGAGAGGGGGCTCTGTCAGATCGCAGAGACTTTGTCCATATTTTCTGCCCCAGCTTTGAGAGTGGCGAGAAAGGAAGAAAAGAGGGTATTGAGAGTCAGCTGTTGAGAATTGGCACATTTCAACAATTGTTTTACCCCGAGAAAGTCATGTGCTTATTTTTAACAATGCCTATTTTTAAATGAGAGTTATTTTCTGAGTAATTTATTTACAATCATGTAATTTTTTAAATCATTAAAAACCAAGCTATATAAAAAGTATATCAAGAAATGCTTACTCCCACCGTCTCCTTATATCTTATTCTCTAGTCCCCCACAACTTTACTCATTTCCTATGTACCCACCAGATATTTTCAAATCAAATACCATCACATTTAAGTGTATTCTTTTTATTTTTGCCCTTTCTTACATAAAAATTAACATACCATAAAAATGATATAGTGATTATGCTAATTCCAGAAAAAAATTTTTAAATTGCATTGGTTTAGAATAGATTGAACATCAGTAGAGAGAAAACCTCCTGCCCGGCATCACTGCCAAAGTCGCCAGTGGATGAGGTTTTCTTGTTGGGAGCTGAGTTGGGGAGTAGTCATCACTACTTCTGATGACTGCTCATGCGTTGTCTGAATTCCGAGAAATCTGTGCCAGAATCTCCTCCATGGTCCTCAAGCCTGTGACTCCAAACTCTACACTAGACACACCAAGGACCTTGAAGGACATTCCACAGATTATATTCTACTCCTATCAAACACCAGAATTGATCCATGCTGTTACTTTTCTTTTTTGAGATAAAGTCTTGCTATGTCGCCCAGGCTGGAGTGCAATGGTGCAGTCTGGGCTCACTGCAACCTCCACCTCCCGGGTTCAAGTGATTCTCCTGCCTCAGCCTCCCGAGTAGCTGGGATTACAGGCATCCACCACCATGCCCGGCTAATTTTTATATTTTTAGTAGAAATGGGGTTTCATCATATTAGCCAGGCTGGTCTCGAACTCCTGACCTCATGATCTGCCTGCCTCGGCCCCTCAAAGTGCTGGGATTACAGGCATGAGCCACTGCACCTGGCCCCATCCTATTACTTTTTGATTACTGCTTATCGCAACTTTCTTCAGTCTTTCCTTCTATGACCCAACGGATGAATCAGCAGAAATATCACAAATAAGTATGTTAACGTCTGAATGCAGTTTGCCAAATTCAGTGAAGTATGTTGGACAAGTCCTTAATATGTTTCCTATAGTAACCTGTGGTACAATAGTCATCTTTAAAAGGTTAAAGGAAAAGACTTGATTGAAATTCTGTTCCTTCATGCAGAACAGGCACTAATGACTTACCAGAAAATTATTCAGTTCATGCCCAGGTAACACAAATGCCTTTAAGTAAATATGCATGTCAACGATTACTTTTTTATCTTGAACAATCACACCCAGGAAATAACTTATCTAATCAATGAACACCAGCAATTTGAAATATGACAATAAAATATAGTTTTACTTAATTTATTATTAAGTCTGATTACCAGACTATAGCAAATAACAGTGTATGTTTTACATTACTGACATGTTGAGGAAACATTTGACATGCACATTATTGTTTTGTATGATGTTCATCAGCAAACGTGTGGTCAAAATGCCTCAGAGTCAGTCTAATAAAAAATTCTACCCTATCTGCAAATCTCTAGTACTTACTTTAGTCTTTCAAGTTCAAGCATGCCTTCCTTCTCAATAAAATTGAAGATAAAATTGATTGATATGTAATATTTTAGGTATCTCTGCTATGTTTAAAGAAATATATTTTGGTTAGTACTATTCTTCTGTCAAACTCACTACTTATATGGGATTTTACTATAGGATTGGTTCCCATTTTACTTGCAGAAAAGCTAAAGTGTGGACAGTATCTATACCAAGTCAGTAAAGGTAACAATAATTTGTGTAACTGATATCAATCTTCACTGTTGTAAAGAAGGGTAGTCATAATCATTATGACCTTTAATGGTTAAGATGCCCATCTGTGAGCTTTCTCACCAATGACATCAACATGTACTATCTACGGTAGAGACAGGTATCCTGAAAGGAAACAAAGATAAGTTCTTGAACCTTGGGGAACTGACACTTACAAAATCACTATGGCATCACTGTGCAACAAGAATAGCAGGCCAGGAGATTGATACAATTCTAGTCCTGGCTCTTTCCTTGATATGATTTTAGCCGAATAGTTCATCTCTCTAGGTCAATTTCATATTCTGAAAATGAGGAGATTAGCTTACATATGCTTGCTTAAATCTCTTATGGCTCTAAAATGTCATGGGTTTAGATTAATATATACACATACATATATATATTATATATACACATATATATTAAATATATATACACATATATATCAAATATATACACATAAATATATACACATATATACATATATATTTTTTATTTTTTATATATACACACACACACACACGTCAACTTATGCTAGGTGTTGAATAACTACAGATACTGAGGACTACAGAGATTCAGAGTAAAGAGAAGTCACCACAGCCTGGCCAGATTCCCAGGAAGAACACAGGCTGGGTTGAATGATTGCAGCTGGATGGGGAAGACACAGGACCTAAACTTGCCTAGTGAGATGGGCTGGTGCAGAGTCTAGGTGCAGATTCTGGGTGACCAAGAACAAGGCCAGCTGAGCAGCAAGAGTGACTTGATGCTGACCCAGAAGCCCTTAAACCCAACTTGGTCAGGCTGTGCCCAGGTGCTGAGCCCAGGATCCCTGTACTGAGGGTACCGATGACTCCAGCCAAAGGGAAAGAATTATAGAAGCTGAGATGAAGCAGTTCTTAGCAGGTTATTTCCCTCACATCATGTTTACTGCATGAGTTACTGGTACATAATTTTAAACGGAGTATAAATTAAAAGGCAAATTCTATTTCACAATAGAGTATATAACCTTCACTTTTTATTTAAGCAGTTACTCATTCTAGATTTTATTTTACTAAGTAACTGACAAATACACAAAATTCTGGGAAAATACTGATTTAGAAACAAGATGAAGGAAATAAGCACATACGTATTCTTTCTCCAGGCCCAAATCTTTCCCTATAAAGCTGAGAATATGAGTATCAGGTTTGATTTTAAAATCCTGCAGTAATATATTATTTTATTCAGGATTTCTGGGCCTCTAACCACCTCAGGTCAGCTCCAACATGTTCAAGCTCCTGCATAAGGGTGAATATTGAATATTTCCAAGCTGCTGGTCTCAACCCTAGCCCATAGCTGATGAATGAGCCCTGCCACGTATAGGAGCTTTAGCCCTACCCTTAGTCTGGCCGCACCCTGGATGTTATCCAGCTAATCCCAAGTAAGCCCCTAAGGATCTCTTCTCCCCCAAATTACAGGCTTATGTTTCAGCCTTACTGTGTGTGCCTAGTTCCTGTGATAGAGCTTCTTCTCTTATTCCTAACTGACACTCAAATTCCCCCACTGACTCCTGAATTTTGCCCTAAACTCCAGCTTGGTTGTCAGGAGTTATATTTAATCTGTGGCAATCCCCCATTTCTAGGAATAACAATATAAGAAGCTAGAAGTTTCCAATTAAAAATATTTCTTCAGCCAATATCCATTGCTTCAATGACAGCTCCTGTCCATATGTTTATTCTGGCACCACCGGGAAGCAGCCTTTAGCTAGGCTCAAGGGTGGCTTCAGGTGCCCATTAACAGCACAGAAAATTCTTGAATTGTTTCTTAGCTCTCAGCACCTGTCAGAATCTGTTTCTACTGTTAGTCATAGTCTGTCCCCAAATCTGTTTGTGTCAGCAGCTCTTATAGGGTTTTGAATCCTTAGTATCAACTCTGGAGAAGAGGCTACTCACTCTATACCTTTCCGTAGTCATTTCCTACTGCTATATTTAAAATTGCCACAAACTTAGTGACTTAAAACAACATTTATTAATTATGTCAAAGCCAAAAGCCCACATGGACTCAACTGAGTTTTCTGCAGAGGTAGAAATCAAGTTGTTTGGGCTGGACTCTTATCTGAAGGCTCAGAAGAAGAATTCACTCTCAAAATCATTCATGTTGTTTGCAGACCTCATTTCCTTGTAGCTGTGGGTCTGGGGTCCCTTTCCTTGCTGGCTGCCAACCAAAGTCCATCCTCATCTCCTAGAGGCTGCCCATATTCCTTGGCTCATGGCCTCTCCATCTTCAAGCCAACAAACAGCACACACATCCAATCCCACTCATATGTCAAATCGCTCTGGCTTCCTCTTTTGCTACCAGCCAGAGAAGTTTCTGTCCTTAAAGGCTCATGTGATCATATTAGGTCCACCTGGATAATCTCCCTTTTTAAGGTCAACTGTGTCATATGCTATGGGCTGAATTGTGTCCCCCCAAAAAATATTTGTTCAAGTTCTAACTCCCAGTACTTCTCAATGTGACTTCATTTGGTAATTGGGTCTTTAAGGAGGAACCTAATTGAAAATGATGTCATAAGGGTGGGCTCTAATCCAATATAACAGATGTCCTTATAAAAAGTGGAAATTTGGACACAGAGACACACAGAGAGGGAAGATGATGTGAAGATACCCAGCAAGAACCCCATGTAAAGACAGAGGAAGTGACTGGACTGCTGTGACTGCAAGCCCGGGAATGCCAAGTACTGCCTGCCAGCATCAGAAGCTAGGAAGAGGCAAGGAAGGATTCTACCCAGATTCTCAGAGGGAGCATGGCCCTGCCGACACCTTGATTTCAGATATCTTGCCTCCAGAACTATAAAGCAATACATTTCTGTTGTTTGAAGCCATCTAGTTTGTGGTGCTTTGTTACAGCAGCCCTAGAAAACTGGTACACCATATAACATAACACATCAAAGAAGTGTTATCTCATCACATCCACAGATTCCAGGCATTGTGGAGGTGAGATCTTGAAGGACATTCCAAGAAGTTCCGCCTATGATGCTGATGCTATTGGTCTTTAAAGAACTTGTTCAAATACGCTTTGTTCTAAGTCCCCTTGACATTCCCTCCTCAGACCACACTTCTTTTTGCTCTTGAGACAGGAGTAAGATCCACTGGTCCTTCCTTGCCTTAGGGTATTTTTTCTTAACTTCCTTAAAGGACTTCTGTTTGGTTGAAATGTTGCTATTACTCACTCCCAGCAAATCCAAGTATAGACACGGAAAAGGCTCCCAAATTCTTCAGGGGTTCCATCATGACAAGTCGGAAGGAACTATGTGGTTCAAGTACCAGGAGGACTTTAGATAGCTCCAAGGTGTCCAAAATAGCTTTGTGAATGAAACCCTAATGATGACTCTGGATTACACAGAAGTAACACGTCTATGGCTAATACATTAGGAAACTAGTTCTCCTTAAATGGCCTACCACTTGCACAGCTGCTTCATTTGCCAAATATAATGTTTTAATCAAAGCAATTTGTTATGAGTCACCTTGTTTATTTTGAACCAAAATGCTGAGGTCTGAGCATTGTCTCGCATATCCCCAGACCTCACTGTAACTCTATCCTACCTTTCTAAGAAGGATTTGAGGTTTCCCTGCAGCCATGTAAGCTCCTATAGTAAACAGAGTGGGCTTTTTCTGAGAAAGATAGCCCTTCTGAGGTCGCTTTTGATCTCCAATCTTTTCATTTTCTCTCTAAATATAGATTGTTCTTCTTTCTATGTGTTTTCTAGCACTCAACAACAATGCCCTCTCCTTCTTCCTCATGAATCTCTGCTAAACATTTTCCCTACATTGAACAATGCATCATTCTCTATGAGAACCACAATACTCACTCATGATCATAAATTCTGCGGGCTCAGGGCCCAAGGATCTGCCTCTGATCAAAAAGCCCTCCTCAATGGGATAGTTGGGAAGAGAACCAGCCACCTTTGTGGGTCATCAGGCAGGAGAAGCTTGTCAAACACTACTACTCCATACTGGTGCATGACCAGGGAATCCAAGCTGGTTCTCCCAGGGACTCAGAATATATATAGTGTCCTGTTAATGGAAGGACTACTGATTTTCTAAGGTGTAGGCTTTGATTTTACAGGTAGATATCAAGTATTCAATCAGAAAGTTCAGTGTTTAACCAAAACTTTACTGTATATGGTAGATAAGATTATCTTCCTAGTGATCTCTATTTTAAAAAAATGTGTATGACTCAGCCGGGCACGGTGGCCCACGCCTGTAATCCCAGCACTTTGGGAGTCCGATGAGGGTGGATCACAAGGTCAGGAGATTGAGACCATCCTGGCTAACACGGTGAAATCCCGTCTCTACTAAAAATACAAAAAATTAGCCAGGCATGGTGGCGGGCGCCTGTAGTCCCAGCTACTCGGGAGGCTGAGGCAGGAGATTGGTGTGAACCCAGGAGGTGGAGTTGCAGTGAGCTGAGATCATGCCACTGCACTCCAGCCTGGTGACAGAGCGAGACTCCATCTCAAAAATAAATAAATACATAAAATTACAAGGCACAAAAAATGGTAAGAAAAAAAAATCTGTAGAAACAAAGCAATTGTCAGAACCAGACAGAGATATGACACAGATGTTAAAATTATCATATAGAGAATTTAAAGTAACTATTTAAGGGCTCTGATAGAAAAAAGTAGACAATATGAAAGAACAAATAGGTAATATAATCAGAGGGATGGAAACTCTAATAAAGAATTAAAAGGAAATGCTACAAGTCAAAAACACTAACAGAAATGAAGGATGCCTTCAATGGACTCATCAGTCACTGGACATGGCCAGTGAAAGAATCAGTTAGCTTTCAGATATATCAATATAATGAAAACACAGGAAAATATCCAAGGACTATGAAGCGATATAAAAAGGTGTAACTTACACATAACTGGAATCCTAAAAGAAGGAGAGAGAAAGAAGCAGAAGAAATATTTGAAGTAACACATAATATTGGTATAAATATTTTTGTGCCTATCTCTTCACATACAGGCACATGCATATCTACCTTTTGGAATTGCATGACTTCAATTTTGAAAGATAATGCTAAACTTTGTCCCAAAGTTGTATCAATTTACAGTTCCACCAGCCATATGGGAGTTCCTTTCCCTCCATGTCCTCACCAACACTTGGTATTCTCATTCTCCTTGATTTTACCCTTCCTGGTGGTTGGGTAATATTACTCATTTTGAACATTCTCTTTGGTGAAGTAACTGTTCAAGTCTTTTGCTTTCTATTTCGCTGTCTTTATTGATTTGTAGCTCTTTATATATCCTACATATAAATACATTTTCAGACTATTTCTTATTCACCCTTACTTTGATGACAGTTTTGTCCTTTTGGTCCACGGAGCTATCAAAAGTTCTGCTGTTTCTCAGACTCTCTGCTGCCTCCCTTGGAATCAACAGATATCCTTGACTGGGAAAGTGATCTGAGTGCTGAGCTTACCCGTCTGGATGTCTTCTTATTCTAGATCTTGACCCCATAATTCTTTACTGCCTTGTGAGCTCACCAATCCTGTCAAACAGATGTTTTTATTTTCTTTCCAAGTTTTCTAACTATTCTCAATGGTAGGGTTGCACCGAATTATTTTGTCAGCCATTATCAGAAGTAGAATTCTCAGATGAAAGTGGCAGTCACTCTGTTTAACCTCTTTTCCACTCACGTATGAAGAGCCTAAGAGTATGCTCATGGCTCAGCATGCAAACAGATGTAAACTTGACCCTAGTATTTTATCTTCTTTCATATTAGACTAAAATATTCTTATACATTTTACTTAGTACTTCAACATTTTAACTTTTAGTTTACCTTTTCTGAGACAGAGTCGCGCTCTGTCACCAGGCTGGAGTGCAGTGGCACGATCTCGGCTCACTGAAACTTCTGCCTCCCGGGTTCAAGCGATTCTCCTGCCTCAGCCTCTCAAGTAGCTGGGACTACAGGCATGCGCCACCATGCCCAGCTAATTTTTGTATTTTTAGTATAGACGGAATTTCACCATCTTGGCCAGGAGGGTCTCAATCTTGACCTCGTTATCCACCCCCCTTGGCCTCCCAAAGTGCTGGGATTACAGGTGTGAACCACCGCGCCCAGTCAACATTTAGTTTACCTTCTAAAAACACTAAGTAATTATTTCCTACTCAATTTAGGAATTAGAGAAATTTCGGTGCTTATTCATCCAACTCTTGCCTAACTAGGCTCTGGTTTGCATTCATTCAAATATATATTAATAGTTTCTGTGTACTAAACATTATTCTAGGAACTAAAATAAGAATACCAAGATCCCTTCCCAAGGGATAGAGACAAAAGAAAAAAAAAACACCTTGAAAACATCATAAAATTGACAGAGAAAGGAATTTAAATGATGTTGTATTAACAAATGATAAGCAAAGAATATAGATTACTGTGTGAGGTTAAAGAGTAATCATTTTAGAATGGGAGTAATGGAGTAATGAAAGGTCTTATAGGAGAGTTGATATTAAAAATTGAGATCTAGGTGGGGCACGGTGGATCATGTCTGAAATCCCAGCACTCTGGGATGCCAAGGCAGGGAGAACACCTGATGTCAGGAATTTGAGACCAGCCTGGCCAACATGGTGAAACCTCATCTCTACTAAAAATACAAAAATTAGCCAGGCATGGTGGCACTTGCCTGTAATCCCAACTACCTGGGCGGCTGAGGCAGGAGAATCGCTTGAGTCTGGGAGGTGGAGGTTACAATGAGCCAAGATCACGCCACTGCACTCCAGTCTGGGGAACAGAACGAGACTCTCTCAAAAAACAGATCTGAATAAGAAGAGCCCCAGTATGAGGATCACAGAGAAGAGTACTCCAGGTAAAGGGAAGAATTTGTGTAAAAGTCCTGAAGCTAGAACAAGCTTAGTTTGTTTCCAGAAAAAGCAAAGGCTAGCATAGCTGGAGTATAATCTACTTCCCATATGATTTACCAATTGGCGAAAGGGAACATGGTGTAAATGAGGCAAGAGTGACAAAATGGAACTAGATCATGTGGGGCTTTGTAAGCCAATATAAGAAGCTTAGATTTTACTCTCATTGAGATAAGAGCTTTGTAAAAATATTTAAGTTTGGGAAAGGAAAGGGGAAGTGGAGGTGACAGGATCCAAGTAATTTTTTTAAAATATATTTCTCTGGCTGCTATGTGGAATATATATTGTGTATGGGTATATCAATCAAGATCAAGTAATGAAATAGAAATTTCTTCTCTTCTGCTAGCTTTGGGGATGTATTGCACTTGCTTCTCTAGTTCTCCTAGGTGTGATGTTAGGTTGTTAATTTGAGATCTTTCTAACTTTTGATGAGGGCTTTTAGTGCTAAAAATTTCCCCCCCTAACACTGCCTTAGCTGTGTCCCAGAGACTCTGGTATGTTGTATCTTTGTTCTCATTAGTTTCAAAGTGACTTCCTGATTTATTCCTTAATTTCATTATTTACCCAAAAGTCATTTAAGAGCAGGTTGTTTAATTTTCATGTCCTTGGATGATGTTGAGTGATTTTCTTAGTATTGATTTCTATTTTTATTGTGCTGTGGTCTGAGAATACGGGGTTTCTTTTTCTTTATTTTTTAGATGAAATTTTGCTCTTGTTGCCCAGGCTGGAGTGCAATGGCACGATCTTGGCTCACTGCAACCTCTGCCTCCCAGGTTCAAGCAATTCTCCTGCATCAGCCTCCCGAGTAGCTGGGATTACAGGCGTGTGCCACCACACCCAGCTAATTTTGTATTTATTTATTTATTTATTTAGTAGAGACGGGGTTTCTCCATGTTGGTCAGGCTGGTCTCGAACTCCCGACCTGAGGTGATCTGCCCGCCTTAGCTTCCCAAAGTGCTGGGATTACAGGTATGAGCCACCTCGCCTGGCCTCTTTTGTTTGTTTAATTTGCCGAGAATTGCTTTATGTCTGATGGTGTGCTTGATTTCTGGGATGAATGGCTAGCAGCCATAAAAAGGAATGAGATCATGTCCTTTGCAGGGACATGGATGAAGCTGAAAGCCATCATCCTCAGCAAACTAATACAGGAACAGAAAACCAATCAACACATGTTCTCACTCATAAGTGGGAGTTAAACAATCAGAACATATGGACACACAGAGGGGAACAACACACATCAGGGCCTGTTGCAGGGTGGGAGGCGGGGGAGGGAACCTAGAGGACGGGTCAGTAGGTGCAGCAAATCACCATGGAACATGTATACCTATGTAACAAACCTGCACGTTCTGCATATGTATCCCAGAACTTAAAATTAAAAAAAAAAATTGTTAACCATATGCAGAAGATTGAAACTGGATCTCTTCCTTATACCACTCTTCTTTATACAAAAAAAAAACACTCAAGATGGATTAAAGACTTAAATGTAAAACACCTAAAGCTATAGAAACTCTGGAAGATAACCTAGTAAATACCATTCTGGACATAGGAACTGGCAAACATTTCATGATGAAGATGGCAAAAGCAGTTGCAACTACAGCAAAAATTGACAAATGGGATCTAATTAAACTAAAGAGCATCTGCACAGCAAAAGAAACTATCAACAGAGTAAACAGGTAATCTACAGAATGGGAGAAAATATTTGCAAATTATTCATCTGAGAAAGGTCTAACATCCAGAATCTATAAGGAATATAAACAAATTCACAAGCAAAAACAAGCAACCCCATTAAAAAGTGGGCAAAAGACACGAACAGAAACTTATCTTAAAAAGACACACATGCAGCCAACAAGCATATGAAAAAACGCTTATCACTAATCATTAGAGAAATGCAAGTCAAAACCATGATGACATACCATCTCACATCAGTCAAAATGGCTATTACTGAAAAGTCAAAAAATAACAGACAGTGAGGTCAGGGAAAGGAAACACTTATACACTGCTGGCAGGAGGCAGGAGTGTAAATTAGTTAAGCCATTGTGGAAAGCAGTGTGGCAATTCCTCAAAGAACTAAAATCATAACTACCATTTGGCCCAGCAATCCCATTATTGGTCATATGCCCAAAGGAATATAAATTGTTCTATCATAAAGACACATGTGCACATATGTTCATTGCAGCACTATTCACAATAGCAAAGACATGGAATCAACCTAAGTGCTCTTCAGTGGTAGCGTGGATGAAGAAAATGTGTCCATGGCCGGGCGCAGTGGCTTATGCCTGTAATCCCAGCACTTTGGGAGGCTGAGGTGGGCAGATCACCTGAGGTCAGGAGTTTGAGACCAGCCTGGCCAACATGGTGAAACCCCATCTCTACCAAAAATACAAAAGTTAGCCAGGTGTGGTGGGGGACGCAGGTAGTTCCAGGTATGCAGGAGGCTGAGGCAGGAGAATTGCATGAACCTGGGAGGTGAAGGTTGTAGTGAGCTGAGATCACGCCACCGCACTCCAGCCTGGGCAACAGAGCGGGACTCTGTCTCAAAAAGAAAATGTGTACTTATACACCGTAGAATACTATGCAGTCATAAAAAGAATATGATCATGTCTTTTGCGGCAACTTGGACAAAGCTAGAGGCCATTGCTGTAAGCAAACTAATGCAGAATAGAAAAACAAATACTACATGTTCTCACTTATAAGTGGGAGCTAAATGATGAGAACTCATGGACACAAAGATGGAAAAAACAGACACTGGGGCCTATTTGAGGGTGGGGAGTGGGAAGAGGGAGAAGATCAGAAAAAAGACCTATGGGGTACTATGCTTAGTACCTGGGTGGTAAAATAATCTGTATACCAAATCTCCATGACATGAGTTTACCTATATAACAAACCTGTACATGTACCCCTGAACTTTAAATAAAAGTTAAATTTAAAAAAGATATAACTTTGCATCTTTTAAACAAAGGAGAATACTAGGAATCAGATATACAATAGAAGATTTAAGAGTTCAAACAGGGTATAATGAAGCAACCTGAGACTCACGATAGTAACTAATACTTCTAAGAGGAAGGAAGTAATATGTGAGCAGGGCCGGGAAGCTGGAGTCATCCACTTGGCATTATCTTGGCAAGGGCTTTCTAATAGACTTAGGTCTACAGAAGGTGGGAGTGTCTTGCAGGTGCTAGAGCCACAGAAAAAAAATGCAGCTGGTATACAAGACATCACAGGTAGCAGTCTTCCACCAATGCCCTTTTTGGCTGAATCTATCTGGAAGGGCAAGAGAGTGTGGGAAATTTAGTTCCTGGCTCAGTTGAACAGAAGATCAGATAACAAAAAGACAGTAGACCAACTCAGAGGACAAAAATAAAAGCAAGGAGATAAGGAGACTATTACAGTAGGTCAAATGAAAATTATGGAAACTTGGACTAGGGGAGTAGAGAAGGAAATTAAGACAAATCAATGTAGTCAGTACATTTGGTTTTTTGTTTGCTTTTTGATTTGTTTGGAGACAGATTCTTGCTCTGTCACCCAGGCTAGAGTGCCGTGGCACAATCTCTGCTCGCTGCAACCTCCACCTCCCAAACTCAAGCAATCCTCCTGCTGCAGCCTTCCAAGTAGCTGGGATTACAAGTGTGCACTACCACACCTGGTTAATTTTTATATTTTTAGTAGAGACGGAGTTTCACCATGTTGGCCAGGCTGGTCTCAAACTCCTGACCTCAGGTGATCTGCCCACCTCGGTCTCCCAAAGTGCTGGGATTACAGGCATGAGCCACTGCACCTGGCCGTCAGTGTATTTGAAGTATAATCAACAGAACTCATTAAGGAACGAGATGTAACAAGAAAGAAAAATCACAAGCTTAGGAATAACTCCTAGATTTTTAACTTGAGCAACTAGAAGGAGAGTGATGTCATTTACTAGAATGAGAAAGACTAATCACGGGAGTTCAGGTGTGCAGGAATAAAATTTCTATTTTGGCTTTGTTAAGTTGAAATTGCCAGTTAGACATCTATGTAGACATTTCCAGTAAGTATTGGATATATAAGTCTGGAACTCTGGGGAACTATCAGGACTCAAAATACAGACTTCAGAGTCATTGGCATGTGTGTTGTACTCAAAAATACAAAACTGGATGAAATTACCAGGAGAGAATACATAGACAAAAAAAGAATAGGCCCAGGAGCACTCCAATGTTGAATGATGCTAAGCAGTCAAGAAAGAGAAAAACAGAAATGAACACCGCATTGGCAACCAAGAGGTCATTTAATGATTTTGAGAGTAATCACCTCAGTTTAGTTGAGGGGACAAAAGTCCAAATAGAGTGAGTTGTGGAGAGAATATAAAATGATGTGAAAAAAATTAACTATTTTCAAAAAATTTTGTTCCCAAGGAGAGGAGAGAAACGGGACTGTAGCTATAGAGGATGAGCTTTTCTTTTCTTTCTCTTTTAAATATAGGATGTTTTAAATGAAAGTCATACAGAAAGGGAACCAAGGGTTCATGTTAGCAAATTGAAAATGGGTGCCCACCTCACCAAAGAAGGTATAGTTTCAACTATTCTCATTTGTGACATTCTATAAAAAGGATCCTCCCAGGAGGCTCATGGAAACATTTTATTTGAAAGCTTCTTATCTAAAAGGAAGACACTGGGAGGCTATAAACACTTTCTTCTCTATCATGGACAATTTTGCTTGTGAAACTGGCAGGATGCGTGACAACTCAGTTACTCTGCCTACATAAAACTTACTCCAAAGGAGTTCTAAAATGTAAGATTAAGATCTCTAGTGGATATGAGGGCTATTGGCTCTAAGGCAATGATTTCTTAAATCAACAGAAGACTATTGAAAGACTTGTCAGAAACCAGAAAAATAATTTCCTCAGTTTCAGAAAGCACATTGCAAAACACTCTCGTCTAGGAAACAGTAATGTGACAAAATAGTTTCTGTTTTACTCTAGGTAGACAATAAATATAATGGCAGTGTTTTAATACAAGTGCAGGGATTTCTTCTTCCTTTACTGACACAACATAGGCATCATTTGTCATCTATGAAGCTGGCTGTTATACTTGTACTGACCTTGGAGTCTTTAACCTATTTGACATAATCTGTATGATATACCCAATCAGAACAAATTTGGCATAAAAACGAAACAGCCACATATAATCCATTTCAGGAGTCCATTGAGACTGAAATTTCCAATGAAGAACTTCAATTCATTTATAATCTTGAGATATTGAAGCTATGAAGGATCTCAAGGATCATCAAGACCAATCTCCTCATCAAACAAACGAGGAAACTGAATCCCAGAAAGAGGAAGTGATTTGACAAGGTTCCATGGCTAGTTAGAAGCAGAACAGGGTCAAAAACCCAGACCTCCTGACTCCACAGATGGCGCTCATAACAGTGAGATGGCAATTAATTTAAAAGAGACAGACCATTCTAACAAATAATAGATTCACAGAAAACCATCTGTATATAAATTATAAGGCATCTCGGTAAGCAAATAGTCAGAGTCCTAATGAAATCAGGATGAGTTTAATGAAAATTAAGAAGCCAAGCTAATGAAGATAGGCAGAAATTAGTAAACAAATAATGTATAATTCTTTCCCCCCACTTACTTACATTGTATGAGAGCTACATATAAGTGCCTCATTTTGTCTAGGTCTTAGAAGATCTGGAAAGGAACCAATCATAAATGCCACAACACAAGAGGGGAACCAGAAGTAAATATAAATTGGCAACCACACTTATTTGAGAAAACTTAGGCAAGAGCCCACACATCAAAAATGATTTTGATAACTAGACGTTCTACAAACAAAAATAATTTAGTCTTCAAAATCTAATGTTAACAATCTGCTTTTTTCAAATCAGAAAAAAATGTGTGCAAGGCAGCTTGCAATAAGGTTGTCTGTCATTGTTGAGAACACTTAAATTTATATAAGGCTTGTAGGCAAAATGTTGCCTGGTATCACTATCTTTCTGGATGGTGTTGAAGAATATAGCTACAAAGTCAATGCATTTGCCGCAGTAGAAATCCTATCTAATCCCTTTAGATACTGAGAAACAACATTTTTAAATATGAATTTTAGTTCCCAAATTCAAAAATCCAGTGGGATAACGGCTGCAATAAAAGAAATTGAATGTATGACCATCTGTATCCAGGCACGAAATGCCACCAGCAGAACTAGCCCACCCACACGTCAGTCTCTTAGTGGCCAGTAACAATGTCCACGACTGAACTGACCATGAGGTGAACCACATATATGCCTGAGGGGGCCAACAAAATGATTCCAACATTACCATGATCTATCTGTATGTACTTTAATCTCATAGTAACAACCTACAAAACCTAATTTCAAGACTTACTATGTAAAGCTACAGTTGTCAAGACAGTGTGGAAGTTGTATATAGACATATAAATAAATGGAACACAATGGAGAATCCCACATATATGTGCTCAGTTTGGGTTTGTTTCATTGGTTGTTTTTTTGTTTGTTTGTTCACAAAGGACCAAGGTAATGTAATCGGGGAAAAAATTATTTTTTCAACAAATAGTACTCGTATCAGTGTGGGATAAAAATGAATTTTGACCTCTACTTCACGTTGTATACAAAAATCAACTCCAAATGGAACATCCACTGATATGGCTTGGATTTGTGTTCCTGTCCAAATCTCAGGTTGGAGGCGGGGCCTGGTGGGAGGTGATGGGATCCTGGGGGCAGTTTCCAATGGTTTAGTACCATCCCCCCCAAGTGCTGTCTCAAGATAGAATTCTCACAAGATCTGGTTGTTTAGAAGTATGTGGGCCAGGCACGGTGGCTCACACCTGTAATCCCAGCACTTTGAGAGGCCAAGGCAGGAGGATCAGGAGGTCAGGAAATAGAGACCATCCTGGCTAACATGGTGAAACCCCATCCCTACTAAAAATACAAAAAATTAGCTGGGTGTGGTGGCGGGCACCTGTAGTCCCAGCTACTCAGGAGGCTGAGGCAGGAGAATGGCGTGAACCCGGGAGGTGGAGCTTGCAGTGAGCCGAGATCTCGCCACTGCACTCCAGCCTGGGCGACAGAGCGAGACTGTCTCAAAAAAAAAAAAAAAAAAAAAAAAACAAGTTTGACATAAATATTCATGAATCTTTATTCATAATAGCCAAAAGATGGAGAAATTCAAATGTTCATCAAGATTAAAAAATAAACCATTTGTGTTGTATACTTACGATGGGATACCACTCCACAATTAAAGAGAAAGAACTATTGATACATGTAACAAGATAACCTCATCTCAAAATAATTATGCTAAGCAAAATAAACTAGAACCAAAAGAGTATACGCTAAAGGATTTTATTTATATAAAACTTTATAGTATACAAAACTAACTTATAGTGACAGATAACAAATTAGTGGTTGCCTAAGGCCCAGGAATCAGGAGCTGAAATGCAAAGAAACATGAAGAGCTTTTTGGGGTGATGGAAATGTTCACTATCTTTATTGTGGTAGTGGTTACATGGGTTTATACATTTTTTGAAAATGTAAAAGTATAATAGAACCTTCAAACTGACAAATAAAAACAAAAGAAAAATTTTACCAAGAAAACAAAAGTAAGGAAATGGAGAGGGAAAGTGGATGGTAAATATCAAAGAAGGTATAAAGTCAAGTATATCACATGATCTGAGTCTTTTTTTTGTTTGTTTTTTGAGACAGAGTCTCACTCTACCCAGGCTGGAATGTAGTGGCAAGATTTCCGCTCACTGCAAAACCTCCGCCTCCCAGGTTCAAGTAATTCTCCTGCCTCAGCCTCCCGACTAGCTGGGACTACAGGCGCACGCTGCAACACCAGGCCAATTTTTTGTATTTTAATAGAGACAGGGTTTCACCGTGTTGCCCAGGCTGGTCTCAAACTCCTGAGCTCAGGCAATCTGCCCAACTCAGCCTCCCAAAGTGCTAAGATTACAGGCATGAGCCACCACACCCGGCCCTGAGTCATATTTTTAAAGGACATTGTGTCCTCTATTTTGAGAAGAGACTGAAAGGTAGAAGCAAGTTTTCTTCCAAATGTTCCCTCAGCAAAGAGAAGGAAGTTTCTACAGTTTGGTTTTTTGTGTGGGTTTTCTTTTTCCTGGTAGAAATTGGAAATCTAAACACCATATTAAAAGGCAAAAGACCAAGAATAACCAAGAAGAGCAAAGTGGAATTATTAATACTTAAAGCTAGATACACAGGTACAGCAACTAAAATGGTGTGTTATTGCCTGAAGTTTAGACAAGTAGGCCAATACAACCAATTAACAAGTCCAGAGCACTGGGGGAAAGGAGAGTCCTTCAATAAGTGATTCTAGGTCAACCAGATAGCTAATTGGGAGAAAAAAAAAAATGAAACTGGGTCCCTACATAATATTTAAAAAATAAATTTTAGGTAGATTGAAGATTTCAATGAGAAACACCAAAGTTCCTAGACAAGAATGTTTGCATAATTCTTTGGGACCTTGAAGTAGTTTCAACAAAATGTAAAAAGTTCTGTTGATAATGAAAAAGAATGAGGCCGGGCACGGTGGCTCACACCTGTAATCCCAGCACATTGGGAAGCCGAGGCAGGTAGATCACTTGAGGTCAGGAGTTCGAGACCAGCCTGGCCAACATGGTGAAACCCTGTCTCTACTAAAAATACAAAAATTAGCTGGGTGTGGTGGCACATGCCTGTAGTCCCAGCTACTTGGGAGGCTGAGGCAGGAGAATCGCTTAAATCAGGAGGCGGAGGTTGCAGCAAGCAGAGATCATGCCACTGTGCTCCAGCCTGGGTGACAGAGTGAGACTCTGTCTCAAAAAAAAAAAAAAAAAAAAAAAAAAAATTAAGAGACTCATAAGCTAGATTATAGTGAAATCAAGACTCTCTATTGAAATACCTATATTGACAAAAAAGAACAAGAAGCAAGTTACAGAATTGGAGACAGTATCTGCAACACTTATAACCAGCAAAAGACTCATACACAGACTACAGAGCTACTATAAATCAATATTGAAGAGACAATACAATAGACTTGAACAGTCATTTCACCAAAAAAAAAGATTATAACCTGGCCAAAAAAGTTATGAAAACTGCCCAACCCCAATAGTAAGCAAGGAAAGGCAAGCTAAGATCACAAATCAGTATCACTATTAACCCACCAGAATGACAAAAATTAAAAATTATGATTTGTATGTATAATGTCCTTCATAATAAAAATTAAAACTAAATTTAAAAAATAAATTGAGGGGAATTAGTATCAGAAAATCATTTAAGGAAACAAAAATATTCTAATGAATGCACAAATGTCCAAACAATGCTTATAACAAGTAGAAGCGGCCGGGCACAGTGGCTCACACCTGTAATCCTAGCACTTTGGGAGGCTGAGACAGGTGGATCACGAGGTCAGGAGTTGGAGACCAGCCCAGCCAACATGGTGAAACCCCGTCTCTACTAAAAATACAAAAATTAGGTGGGCGTGGTGGCGTGCGCCTGTAATCCTAGCTACTCCGGAGGCTGAGGCAAGATAATTGCTTAAACTCAGGAGGCAAAGGTTGTAGTGAGCTGAGATTGCACCACTGCACTCCAGCATGGGTGACAGAGCAAGACTCCATCTCGGGGGGAAAAAAAAGTAGAAGCTTTTGTCAAAAATTCAATTCAACCAATATTAATTTCTTAATTTAATAGAATTTCAATAATGATTCTGTTGTTTTTGAGAAAAATGCATAAAATTATATTAAAGTTGATGAAATTTAAAAATTATCTATGGAATACTATGCAACCATAAAAAAGAATGAAATTATCATTTCCTGGATGTAGCTGGAGGCCATTATCCTAAGCAAATTAATACAGGAACCTAAAACCAAATACTGCATGTTCTCACTTATAAGTGGGAGCTAAGCATTGAGTACACATGAACATAAAGATGGGAACAACAGATATTGTGATCTACTAGAGGGGGGCTAGAGGGGAGGCAGGCAAGGGCTTAAAAGCTACCTATTGAGTACTATACTAAGTACCTGGGTGATGGGCTCATTTGTACCCTCAGTGTCACACAATACATCCACGTAACAATCCTGCATATGTATCCTTTGAAATTAAAAATTGACATTTAAAAAAAAAGGGAAATAGTAATATTAAAAAAAAAATAACCGTACATCATTTCTTTGGGTCTTCATTGCTTTATGAAGGCTCTCATGTCATGCAAAACTTACATTAAATAAACTTGTGTTCTTTTCTCTTGTTAAAAAAATACAAATAAAAATTTGAAAAGTGTCTATGATAGAAAATTATGAACAAAGAAAAGTGGTAAGGGAATTGTATACCTTATGAGATATTTGAATTTACTACAAAGTCACTTTAATCAAAACACTCTGGCACCAACACAAAAATAGACAAGTAGATTTATGGAACAAAATAGAATTCAGAAATAAATTCACAAAAATGGCATTTTGATTCAGTGGGAAATAACTGGTTTATTAATAAATGATCCTGGCATAGTTGGCTATCTGTATAGAAGAAAACAAGCTAGATCATCTACCTCACACCATATGCCGAAATGAATCCCAGATGGATAAAATTTTAAAGCAAAAATATTTTATAAGTTTATAAAAATTAGAAAATTAAGATGTTTTCACAGTCTTGAGGCAGAGAAAAACTTCCTATGTGAAAAAGAATTGTCTCAAGCCATAAATTTAAAAAGAGACATATTTTGACGTCATAAAATTAAAACACTATATGGCAAATCACTATAAACAAAGTCAAAATAAAAATGATTAACTATGAAAACATTTGCATATGACAAAAGATCACTACATCTAGTAAGCAAAAAGAATGCCTCCAATTTGGAAAAAAAATGAAACAATGAAAGAAAATGGACAAAATGTTTTTTTACAGAAGATAAAATTCAGTTGGTCAATAAATATGAAAAGATGCTTAGCCTCATTAGTACATAGAGACATAAAAATAAAGTAGCATTTTTCACCCATATCAGCAAAAACAAAAAGATTTATGACATTTGGAACTGATGAAGATACAGGAAAATGGGTGCTCCAATTTTATTTCTGGAACTACAAGTTGCCTAAGCTTCTTATAATAAGCTAACATTAAGAAATCTGGTAATTGTTAACATTCAGAATATACATACCTTTTGACCAAGCAATTTCACTTCACAAAATCCACCCTATAGAAACAAAAGCACCTGTGTGTAATGGGATGACTATTGCAACATTTTTGCAGAGACAAAAGAAAAAGAAAAGACCTCTAGAAACAAATGATTATCATTGATACAGAAATAGATAGATTGTGGAGTATCCATTCTACAGATGTAACCCTTGAACAAACGAAAAGAAAAGAAAGGGACGAGAAAAATAATGGGAAAAGAAAGGAAAAGAAAGGAAAGGAAAGGAAAAGGACTTAGATCAATATCTAGTCTTCTGCAAAATGTCTAAGATGTATTGCTAATCTGCCCATGAATGGGTATACTACAATAAAATTTTTGTAAAAGAGCAAACAATACCGCTATATGTATATCTGTTTGCTTGCATAAGCACTGAGAAAGTCATAGAAGTTTTAACATCCAATATGCATATTAGTTTGGAACAACTTGGAATAGAGGAATGAGGAAAAATTATCTTTTAAGTACATCTCTTTGCATTGTTTTACCAACTACAATGAGCACATATTTCTTAATTATTGTACTAAAGTACTTTTTATAGAATGCTTGATTGAAAATATACTTCTCATCTATGGCTGTTCCACCCTTAACACACCTGATCTCATCTGAAAATGGGTATTTGACCCTATTAACTTGACATACATTCTAATATAAACCCTTTCTCTAACTTCTGTATCAATCTTCTTTCCTGGATTTCCTTTTGTCCTCTTTCTATTCCTTCTCTGTCTCTCTTGTTAGCACCATGTCCTCATTCATTCTTGGGGGGAGAAAAAAATCTCTGCAAATTCCTTCTCATAGTTATTTCCTTCCCTTGCATTCATGGGAAAGAATTCACTTATTCACCTGCTCATGGTACTGAATCCCCATACAAATTCAGACAAATGTAGGAGACAGAGATGGAAATCAAAAAATTAAAGTAGGGTGAGATAATCTTTGAATGTAATATATGTGTAATATATACTGAATCCCTAGAGGTAGGTGTGCAAAAGTACATTTTAAAACACCAAAAAGCAACCAGCCACCTGGAGCTAAACCTTTGGAGCAGAGTGCTGAAGAAAAAGTGGCTTTGCCAAATGAACACAGAGGAGGGCCAGTACTCCAGACGCTGAAAACCATGTTTTTGTGTTGGCATTCATTCTTCTTTTTTCCAGCAATATTAACTTTTTTGACAAACCACATGAACTGTAGAGGAGTACGTGTTGGACTAAAATTGTGCTAAAAAAATTTCCTCCTCTGAAAATTAGAGAAGTAAAAATATTGCATAGCTAGTAAAAATAGTCAGTAAAAAGAATGAACACCCATACTCATGTGGGCACCGTAAGTGGGCAAATGAAGAGCACAGCATGCTCTGGTCATGCATAAACTTTTATTCTTTTGTTAGATTGGTTAAATGATTATAAAATATTTTGCTATATATGTTGGTTCTCATAATTTGTTAGGGAGTAGGTTTTTTTTTCTTAAGCTGACTGGCTGTTTTCCTTTTAGGAGAAATGAAGTTGTTTGAATTGGAGAGTAGAGTGGGAGGAAGCATTTTAAACGACTGTTACTTGCCAACTGTGCTGTTGCAGCTAGAGAAAACCTGGAAGAATTCTGTAATAGCTCTGCTAGTTTCTCCTCATTGCACAACAGTATGACTGCTACAGAGACAGCAAACAGAGGAAGGGGAGAATGGGTTACAATCAGGTAATTAAGCTTCTCTTTGGCTAGATAATTTTCTAGTGGATAGAAATATGCTTGCACAATAGTACAATGAGAATTTTGTTATTTAGGAAAACTTTGTTTTATATGTAGCAGAGTTATAGACCTACAGGGTAGATAACTGGAAACCATGTTAGAAATGTGTATCTCAGCTCCCTCCTTTTACAAATAAGATCAGAGCAGTTAAATATGTTTAAGATTTCATAGCTACTAAGCAGTCATTCCTCTCTATAATTCTACCTCTGTAATATAAATCCTTTGAAAAAGCCACAAGCAAATATTTGTAGCATTTCTGGACAAATTAAGATCTTTCTGAATATTTATACAATAGAAATGCCACTTTAAATACACAAAGGAGATGTGCTATTTTAAAAAACTCAAATTAATTTTTAATGCACATAAATATCCTTTCATCAATACAGTTCTTAGACTTGAATTTTTAAATAGTATTTTATTTTCCTGGGAAAAGGAAGTAACTGTATTATATCCTAAAATTATGATAATGAAAAAATCAATGTTCTTATCACAACAGCTAAAGAAATAACTGCAGTGATCCTATCAACTCTGTTTGATAATTATCGAGAAATGTTTAATATTACTATTCCAATATATAGGGTGCCCAACTGTTTTCACCAACAAGGAAATCTGGAGATTACCCAACTAGAATAAAATCAAGCACCATTAAATCTGGCATGCCTTTTGCTTTTCTGACACCTGTAAACCTCTTTCCATACCACCCCCACCTGGTTTTTAATTTATTGACTACACATTTTAGTCAGCTGCAGGCACCATCTGTTTCTAAACACTTAGCATCCATGCCTGATAAACTGCTGTATAAATACTTTGGGGACTTCCTTTGTACCCGTTGTCAACATTTCCCCACTACATTTCCATCTTCGGAGCTTACATTTCCAATCATACCTTAAATAAAATATCCAATTACAGTCTGAGAAAAGTCTCCAGGTTTATAAAAGAAGATAAGTAAAATCATGTTATGTTTAGAAGACATGTGAGAAGTCACATCATATTCTCCTCTTATCTTTATCCAAGGTCTTGGTTTTCCTTTCAGAGGTTATAGCTCAATTTCAACAACATGCTCACACCAATGCAGCATTTTATTTCAACAAATATTTCAGTGCCCACATGTTGCAGACACTGAAACATCATGGTATTGGGGGGTGGGGGTAGAAGTAGGTTAGCATTGAAACCAAGGGGTTAATTTGATCAGGTATGCATGCTCTACTCTGCTTGGGTTTTGTTATTTCTTTTTCCTTCTTCCATGAACCTGAAGGCCATGGTAGCTACTTTTAACTTTTCCATAGGCTAGGAAATCTGTCTCACTTAGGCATGCCTTGAGGTATGTATACCTAATCTAATCTCCAACTTCTTTGCCTGTCCCAAGACCTCTTCCCCATGGCTGTTGCCACCAGCCAGTTCCTCCCATTCTTACAGACTCTAGTTTCTCACTCTCATCTCTAAACATTCATGTGGTTGCTGGAATTCACTTTAGAATCTAGAACCAGGATCAATCACCACGTGTTCAGGGAGCCCCAAAGCAACTCCTGTTCACCCCCAAACAATAACAGACATTAACACAAACAACAGCATAAGCTTAGAAATATGAAACCTGCCAAAAAACAGAAATAAAAGATAGTAAAAGAGTCTGAGCCTATTAAGACAGGGCAGAAACAAGATTTTAAATAGAATCACGAAGTCTGACTAGGCGGATTTTCACAGGGTTTTTCAAGGTCAGCTGGTTGATTTCTTCCTTTTCTCCTGATTTGGGGTTTTTGTTGGAGTTTTGTTTTTGTTTTGCTCTTGTTTTGAATGACTCCAATAGCTCCTTCCCACATCTTGGTCATCCAAAAGGAAATCTATAGTTTTCTCATCATCCAGAGGCTACATTTAGCCACTTCAACCCACACTTAGAACACCAAGAGTTCTGTCTGGGAGAACTGAGTGGGGAGAAAAAGGTAAGCGCTCTGGTTCCATCTGAGTTCACCAAGTCCCAATATTCTGTGTGGGCATTTAACAGAAAGAGGTTTTCCAGCTTCACATGCTGTGAAGAAATCCCTGCAGCTTCAAAGGGGTGTCAGTGGGAACCTTCCCTGTGTATATTTTCTAGCTTCTCTGTGGGTCTAAAATCTCCCCAGCTGAAACTCTGAGGTGGGACCTCCCATCTATAGACCTCCTATTTCAGCCTGACCTGTGAAACACACAACCTAGGTTCTTACTGTGGAAGAAGCTGAGTCTTTCTTGTTTTAGGCCCTTGACTGGTTACCTCATGCCTTTTTTAAAACTAAAACATCTTTGGGCAGGAACTTTCTACCTGTTTTTTGACCATGTATTTAAGATCAGGTATATCTAAGGGCAAGTTCACCAGACCTGCTTCCCACACAAGATGCAATGTTTTCAGACATCATTCAGACTGTTATCTTGCAGTATGCTTCCCAACTGAAACCTTACTAATTGTTCAACACGATAGGTAAGATTTCTTATGTAAACTTGTACCATGAAAACATCACCTTATGAATATTAAATAGTGAAGAAAAAATAAAATTAGGATTTTCTCAGAAAACTTTTAACTTCTTGAAACATTTCAGCATATTTAACGAAAATGCTTGAAGTTAAATATGAGTCCTATACAGATAGGACTCAGTATATATCATATATATTCAGATAATATATGGACTAGTGTTGGTCTAAAAGTTCATTGTAAATTATTTGAGATTCAGTAAGTTTTTTCATAAAGAAAATGATATGTGGTGCTTAAATGACGGATACCAATCTTCATTAGCACATTTGATTCCTAAGGCATTGGCATTTAATTTGACACTCATTGAATTATTTCCATTGTAGTAAACCTAAACCTCCATGTATACTCGAGAACCGGGTTCAGTCTAAGTCCTGCTGCTCGCTGCACAGAAAGCCAATCATTTAGACAATCAGTACTGCCGAGCAAGAAGGCTTTATTCAGATGCTACAGCTGAGATGGGTGCTCAGCCTGAAATCCATCTCTCTGACTGACTAAAACTAGGGGTTTATAAAGCAAGGAAGAAATGTTAACAACATGTAAGAAAGCAGGAACTAATGAGGAACAAGGTGACATCTGGTACCCTGACCTGGTGAGTTTCAGTTCTTTGATACTTTGAGAGGCCTGAAGGTTCTTTCCTGAAGAAGGAACTCAGATAAAACAAATACAAGTTTCAAGTTTTAACAGTAGAAAGGTCAATTTCTATGTTTATCCAAAAACAACTGTCTATGGGACTACTGGGCCATTTTCGGTGGGAGACGAAAACTAATGCTTACTTAGCAACTACTAAGTGCCAAAATGAAGTAGTATGTTAAGTCCTACTTAATTTCCTATTTACAAGGCATTTGAAAATCTAGTCATGGAAAGTCTGATAGGGCCTATAATTATATAATCACATGTTAATGTTGAAATCTTTCTAGTTATTGCAGAGCAAGAGTTTTCCTCTATGCACCAGGGGGCAATGCTTGGTCATAGATGTAAAGATGAGTAACAGTGTTTCTACTCTCAGTGGAGCTTTAGAAGAATACACAAAGAAACCTAAACAGGTCAATGCCCTTATAACAGTACTGCATTAGTCCTTGACTTCCATAAGCAGCATGGGTCTAAGATTGACTAAGAGGTTTGGAGTCAGATATAGATGCACAAAACTGTTTCAGTAAACATTCATCCTAAGACTCAACCACATTATGGAACCTAACTTTACAGTTGTCATGAAGCTGTATGGGAAAACATATGGAAACAAGTACTTACTGTGTCTTGTGTGAAAAAAGCTTTAAAAAAATACGGGCTCCTTTCTCTTTCCTCCTTGATATCTCATGTCATCTGTCAAATTTCAAAACGTGTTTTTAGAAGATGAAATTCCAGATTTCTGAACCACAGAGGAAAATGCCCAAAGCTGGGAACATAATTGCTACTCTATGGGGCAGCCTCCACAGTAATTGTATCTTACTGGTATCTTACTTCTTCCACTGTAAACAGTTTTCCAGAAGCAAAGAGCTGTGGGAATGTGGATTATCTGTAAAAGATAGACCTTTCATTATCACTTAACACTGACCACAACTTGCTTTGGAGTTGAATCCCACGTATGTTTGCAAATACTTGTTGCTGCAAAGGGATTTATTTCTGAACTGATCCAATGCTATTACTTAGAAATAACTTCCATTACGGTTCCTTTATCTTCTTGTTTATTAGGTCTTCCTTTGTTTAGAGTGACCTGGCAAAGTGTGGTTAACAGGACTTGCAGCAAAAGTTGAAAAATCCATTAGAAGGCTCAGTTGAGAAGGGAAAAATTGAGAGCCTATGAACATTTGAGGAAATGCCAGAGGCTTGTTCAGAATTTTCTTATTAAACCCCAGATCTAGCTAGCAACAGGTTGTTTCCTGTTAAGTGAATAAGGAATGATCTCTAAGGTGCCTTCTAGCTCTAAATTTCTATGAGTTGAAGCGGACAAGGTTTCCTTAAGAGAGCAGGTATTTTAATGATATGAGAAGTGGATCCGAGCCCTTAAGCTCTTTTTTAGAAATTAATTTCAAGGCGCTGGTTTATGTTTTCAGTATTCAAAGCCCAAGCCTGTTATTACTCTGTGGAGGTGAGCTTCTTTAAAGGAATGTGCCCCTTTGTGTGATGTGCACAGCCAAAGCAGCATGCATTTTTTAACTAGGTTCACAGTATTGGGGTAAGTCCATAGGAAGCGTTTGAAGCTAAACAAATGTTCCCTAACCTTTTCATCCCAGCCTGGAGTAAGGAAAGAAATTCAATGTCCTGTGAATTTTAGTTCTCATTTTAATCGGAATTCTTATTTGTCTTCAGTCTCAATTCTTAATCTAGGCTCATCTTAACTTCTTTCCAACACAGATCCTTAAGCTGCTTTGAATAACTCAATACACAAAAATTACTATTCAGGTTTAAGTAGTCTTCTTTAAGCAGCCCAGGTATGAGGAAGAAACTGAGCTCTGACAGACTAGTAATAGCTAACATGCCAGGCCTTACAGCTAAGGGCCTTACATCAACTCATTTAATCTTGTAATTACCCTGTGAAATAGGGACAATTAAGATCACCGTGTTATCCTCGGAGAAAATTAAGGCATAGTAAGTTTCCCAAAGTTACATAGATATTAAGTGACAGAGACAAGTTACAAACCCAGGTTCCTAATATGACCTTACAAGAGCTCTATATTAGACAGATTTACCTTGAACTGATCCCCAGAGATTCTGATTCATTTACAGTGGGATGGGATGGGATGAGATGGGGCTGGAGGCAGTTGTCTACAAAAGCTGGCTCATCCAGGCTCACAAGAACCAATTGTAAGATTTTCAGAAATTCAATCAGCCAGTTAACTTCACAATTTCATGTTTGTTGCTTGAAATTGTTCATAATGGGAGTAGTTACGAGTAATCAACAATTGCTACAAGCTAGACCCTTCCTCTTTCCCCTACCCTCACATGACTGGTTGTTAAATACCACCAAGTAGAGACTAGTTATTATTATTTTTTGAGATGGAGTCTCACTCTGTCACTCAGGCTGGCATGCAGTGGCGTGATCTCTGCTCACTGCAACCTCCACCTCCTGGGTTCCAGTGATTCTCTTGTCTCAGCCTCCAGAGTAGCAGGGACTACAGGTATGCGCCACCACACTCAGCTTATTTTTTTGTATTTTTAGTAGACACAAGGTTTCACCATGTTGGTCAGGCTGCTCTCAAACTCCTGACCTCAAGTGATCCACCAGTCTCAGCCTCCCAAAGTGCTGGGATTACAGGCATGAGTCACTGCACCTGACCTAGCTAACATTTTTAAATTCTGCTGATTCTAACAAGGCAGTGGGGTTGATAACTAACTATTCCTGGTACATAGTTAACTCTGGTTTCTTTAAGGGGTGATATTAGAGGATACAGAAGGTGGGCCATTCACTTTTTACTACATAATGTGTTTGATACAAGTATACATTTCTTTTATAAAATAATATACCAAGTTAAAGAAAACAATAAATATATTTTTCAAGGTTTCCTTTGTCATTTACTTATGGATATAGAAAAAGCAGTTGATGTTGTCCTTGAGGCTTGGCAATGGGATAGGTAGAGTAGGTAGTGAGGAAAGGTCCTTAACCACAGTCTGTAGGCAAAAGTCAAGAGTTGCTCAAAGAGTGAGTGATATAAACAGCCAAGAGTCAATTCTTAGCAGACAGAGAATATTTCCAGGAAGACTTTGGGTGGCTCTAGTACCAGATGGGGATTAAAAAAAAAAAAATGGAAGAAACTAAGCAGAAAAGTCAGATACCAAAGAACTAAAGTCCATCTGGTCCTGATACCTGGACTTTGCAGACAGAAGTGGAGTCCAAACCTGAGAAGATTATCAAGAATCCGGGGAAACTTTATTCATGAAGGAACTGGGATCCTAGCAGGATCCGCAGATGTAAAATAATATGGACAGGTAAGACCAAGGCTCACTTCTTGAAACTAAAAGATGAAAGCCCAATTAACTAGGCCAAGGTTAGAGAAGACCAGCAGCACAGCTGGCCTGACCACGAGCCTCTACCTGAGCTTGCCAAATGCCAGGGGCCTCTGCTGTGTCCCTACCAGTTCCACAGGAACAAAAATGATCTGGCTGCTAGGACTGAAATTCTGAAGGGACAGTGGGGCAAGGAAGTTTATTACATGTAATTTCACTTGAGCAATTGTGACACACTCTGAATTATAATCTTTCTTGCTATGAACTAGTTACATAGTCAGAAAAAAATCAGATGCCATTGCAATTAATTCACATAATTAGGACACACCATCCCCATTACACTCTCATTTTTACGTGACACGAATTCCTTATCTTGGTCCAGCTTTGTGATTTTTAGCACAAATCAACTAGTGTGGTAAAAGTTAATAAGTAGAAAAAGAAAACAGCATGAATTGACACATAAGGGATGTTTATCAGATAAAAGCTAAAATAGGCCCAACATAGTTGCTTACATCTGTAATCTCAGCATTTTGGGAAGCTGAAGCAGGAGGATTGCTTGAGGCCAGGAGTTTGAAAACAGTCTTGACAACATAGTGAGACCCCATTGCTACAAAAAAAAAAAAAAATCAGCTAGGCATGGTGGCCTGAGCCCGTTCCCAGCTACTAAGGAGGCTGAGGCAAGAAGATTGCTTGAGCCCAGGAGTTTGAGGTTAGAGTGAGCTGTGATTGTGCTACTGCACTCCAGCCTGGGTGACAGAGCAAGACCCTGTCTCTAAAAACAAAATTAATATATATACTTTAAAATAAAATTTAATAAATATTTTTTAAAGCTAAAATATAAAGGGGAAGGTATGTGGAACCATTATGTTCATATAATAATTAAGTTATCCTTAAATTTTTATTCAGTACAAGAGAGGAAACTTTTGAGAATGAAAATTGCTCCTAATACTGACTGTTAAGAAATATGTGGATACACACCCAAAAAAAAATACCAAATTGTGCTGGTGAAATATTTTCAGTAGCCTACTCAGGGGCATCCTTTGAAAACAGTATCATCTTTTCAATTTGACACATTTGCTTTAAGGTAATAATAAGAATGTGAAAATTAATAAGTAATGATGATAGATCAGATACTGTCCACAAATCCTCAAATTCATGGAACTCTTTGGAGACAGAAACTTCAAATAGTGTCCACTACATAGTAGATAATGAATATTTACTGACTTGAAAGGATGGTGTGTAATGATTTGTACATTGTACATCACTGGGGCAGACTTGAGATTGCTAGGGTATATATTACAAAAGGAATTTAGTGGTCCAACAGAGTGTATTTTTGATGAAGGTATTTTAGTCACTTACTGAAATAAAATAGGGGTCTTTCATAGGTTGCACTTAGAATGATATGTACTATAGACATTTACAGTCTTTGAAATATAAGAATTACTTATATGGACTCCTTATTAATGTCTTTAATGGTATATTTACCTGATTTTTTTTTTCTCAAAATTTATTATTTTATTTATGCTCTATCAGTTTAACTTCTTAGATTTTTTCTATTCCTTTAGGTTTTTTCTATTTCGAGAAACTAAATACTTCAAAAATGTCGAGTCAACTTGGAGACACATCTGTTTTAGTTTCTTATTTCTAAAAAAAAGTTGAACAAATTAGTAGCATTCTATATATGCTGGCATGTTTTTTGCCTCTTTAACCTTTTTTATACTTTCAAAGGTATCTATCCTTTTCTATTTTGCTCATATTCAGGATTTTTTTTTGGCCAATTTATCTAAGACAATTTTCATTTTATTCTAAATGTTTGCTGAGTATTCAGTTCTGTGGCTTGCCAAGAGGCCCAACCTTGGAGACTTTGAAGTTATACAGCCAGAGAGACATGACTCATTCTTTTTTGCCTAGTAATCTCTCATTAGTTGGCAGGTAAACTCCACTTAAAATAGATGTTCTGGCATGGAGTTAAAATTGTTAGTGAGGCAATGACTGAGAAGAGGTGGCACCTCGGGGATTCTATCCCATCCTCTCCCTTTACGTGGGGTTCCACCACCAAGACAGCTTCCATTCCAGCAGGGGCCTTCAAGTCTATAGAAAGCCAGGGCCAACTCACATATCTGTTAAGGACTTCACTGTGTGTATGAGTTCCCTATGACCTCTGTCATAAATTAACACAAATTCGGTAGCCTAACAGATATTTATTCCATCATGGCTCTGGACGTCACAAGTCGGAAATCTTTTCACTAGACCAAACCAAGTATTGGCAGTACAGTGCGCTAGAGGAAGATTAATTTCCTTGTCTTTTCCAGCTTCTAGAGCTGCATTTCTTGCATCCTGGCCCCATCTTTTATCTTCAAAACCAGCAGCATAGAATCCTACTCCAGTGGTCACATTGCCTTCTTTGTACCAAATCTCCCTCTGCTTCCCTTCTGTAAGAACACTTGTGATTACATTTAAGGTCCACCAGGATAATCCAGGATAACTCCCCCTTCTCGAAGTCCTTAACCAAATCACTTCTGAAAAGTCTTTTTTCACATGAGATAACATTCACAGTTTTAAGAGATTAGGATCTGAATATGTTGAGAGGCGTCATTCAACCTATCACAGTATGTTACCATTCATTTTTTAACTTGTTTCACTAAGCACATATTTAATGTGTTTTTAAAATGTCTATGCCTTTGAAGCTCAATAATTGAGCTTTCTGTACTCCTTATTTATTTTGGTATTCATTCATTTACTCTTTTCACTAAGATTTGAGTGGCTACATTGTGCCAAACAGCCAGTTGACTCAGATAAAACAAGTATTTTTAAAGTATTAGGCAGAAAATTTAAGTAACTAAGTATGACTAGTTTATTAAGGGCTCCATAGAAAAAGTTGACCACATGCAAGAATAGATGGATTAGATAAGCAGAAAAATGGAATCAAATGGAAATACTAACAAATCAAAACACTAACAGAAATAAATAATGCCCCTGATAAGTTCATCAGTAGACTGGACACAGCTAAAGAAAGAATCAGTGGAATTGAAGATAGATCAATAGAAACTTCCCTAACATAGAAACAAAACTGTCAAGCAAAATTGAAGCTTAACCAATCAGAAACGTCCAGCTGACTTTTAACTAGAGACTTTACCAATCAGAAACCACCAACTAACCTCTAAGGACTTCCCATTTTAAAACCAATCAAATTCTTTTTTAATCTTTCTTCTGGAAACAGAAGTTTCCCCTTGAGCCCCCTCAGTGGAGCCCTGAAGTATTTGTGCCTTGCACTGCCCAACTCATGAATTGCTGAATGCTCAAATAAACTCTTTAAAATTGTAATGTGCCTAAGTTTATCTTTTAATGGAAATAAAAATGGCCAAGAACTTTCCAAAATTAGTGACAGACATCACACCACAGATTTAGGAAGTTCAGAAAACACCAAGTAAAATAAATACAAACAAACAAAACCTATCCCTGGGCATGTCATATTTAAACTGCAGAAAATCAAAGACAAAGAAAATCTTTAAAGAAGCCAGACTGGTGTGGGGCATGTGGGGACACCTTACCTTTAGACAGACAAAAATAGGAATTACAGTACACTTCTTGCCAGAAACCATATAAGAAAAAAAAGGTTAAATAAGCACAAATCCCCACCAACGTAGAATTTTATGTACATCAAAATTATTATTAAAATTGAAAGAGAATTAAGAGTGTCACCAAAAAAAAAAAAAAAAAAAAACATGGAAAGCATCACCAAGAGAAGTTCCCTTTAAGAAATGTTTTTAAAACTTTAGGCAGAAGGAAAATAACATTGGTCAGAAGCTTGGATCTACATTAAGAAAGGAAGAATATCAGAGAAGGAATAAATGAAGACATGATGGTCAGTTTTATGCATCCACTTAGCTAGCTACAGTTATTTAATCAAATACTGATCTTAGGGTAAATGGCCATCAATCAACAAGTGGATAAAGAAACTGATATTATATATATATACACATATATATGTATATATATTTATATATGTATATTTTATGTATTATATATATATTTATATATGTATATTTTATGTATTATATATTATATATAATAACATATTATATATCATATATATGTGTATATATATGATGGAATACTGCTCAGCCATAAAAAAAGAATGAACTAACAGCCTTTACAATGACCTGGATGAGACTGGAGACTATTATTCTAAGTGAAGTAACTCACGATGGAAAACCAAACATGGCATGTTTTCACTGATATATGGGAGCTAAGCAATGAGGACACAAAGGCATAAGAATGATACCACGGACTTTGGGGATTTGGGGGGAAAAGTGAGAGGGGGCGAGGGATAAAAGATAACATATATGGTGTAGTGTATACTGCTCGGGTGATGGGTGCACCAGGATCTCACAAATAGCCACTAAAGAACTTACTCATGTAACCAAATATCCCTGTACCCACAAGAACTTATGGAAAAATAAAAAATAAATAAGGTACTGCTGTGAAGGTGTTTTGCAGAAGTGATCAAAGTTTATAATCAGTTGACTTTAAGTAAGGGAGGTTATACTAGATAATTCAAATGGGCTTAATCCAATCAGTTAAAAATTCTTAAGAGCAGAGCCAAGCTTTTCCTAAAATGGAAATTCTACCTGTGGACAGCAGTTGCAGCTTCAGGTTTAACAGCCAGAGTTCCAGCCTGCCCCTTCTGACAGCTTGTCCTACAGATTTGGGGATTGTCTAGCCAGCTCTTCTTGCATAAGCCAATTGCTTACAAAAAAGTTCTGTGTCTTCTACTGTTGTTTTTTCTGGTTGAATCTTGACTCATACAGAGTCAGAATAATTTTTTAAACTGTTCTTATTTAATTAATCCAAAAAATAGTTGACTATTAAAAATATAGTCACGATGTATTGAGTGAAATGAATGACAACAATGTCACAAGGGATCGTAGGGTAGAATTGGGAATAGTCCATCATAAATTACTTGTACTACCTGTGATGTGCTATAGGCTTATTTGAAAATAGACATGTATTAGTTAAAAATGTATATTGTAAACTCAAGGACAGCCACTAATTTTTTTAAAGTATAATTGATACGCTAAAAAAGATAAAATGGGATCATATTAAATGCTCAATTAAAGAGAGGAGGAAAGAAACAAAGAACTCATAAGTATAAATGATTAAGTAAATGAGAGCATCATGCTGTACATAATATATACAACTAAATAAATCCTTAGACTTTTTAATTTAAAAAAAGACTCAAATTGATATAGATATACAGCTCTCAAGGAGGTAGAGTATAACTTCCCGTGAGTGTGGGCTCACAGTGACTTCATTGCAAAGAGTATATTGTGGAAAGGGGGGAGGGAAATAACTTTACAGTGGAGAAATCTTTCAATAATCTATGACATCCAACATAATGTCTTATTAGCCCTTATCAAGCCTAATATCAGCAGGAATAAGCCATGTTACCATTGATGTGATGTGATGAGAATGGCACTTTGCCACTTCGGTATTCTTCCCCAAAACTCATAACCTCAATTTAATCATAAGAAAAACATCAACCGAATCTCAATTGTGAGACTTTCTAAAATTACCTAAACAGTACTCAAAACTGTCAGGGTCATCAAAAACAAGGAAAGTCTGAGAATGTGCCATAGTATGAGACGCATAAGGAGATATGACAACTAAATGTAATGTGGACTCCTGGAACAGAAATAGGACATTAGGCAAAAGCAAAGGAGATCTGAATAAATTGTGGGCTTTGGTATAAAATATACTAATTATAAGTGTGTGCATATATGTACTTAGACATAATTAGAATTTTAATTTGAATGTATTTAATTGTAAGTAAAATTGAGCATCTTTTCATGTATTTAATTCTTTTTTATAAGGACAGAATTTTTTGCAAATTAGTTATGTATCAGAAGGAAGGAAAGAAAGGAAAAAAGAAAGAAGAAAAGAAGGAAGGAATGAAGGAAGGACATGCTGAAACAGGGAGTGGATTTCCCATTTTAACACTTTTAATTCATTTTACTTATATCAGTCCTAACTTTGATTTTAAATTCTATTATAGTCTAGTTTTTTAAAATTTTTAAACTTTTATTCTTAATCTTTAATTTTAATTTACATTAATATTTTAATTATTAACTTTCAGTCACTTCTTTTTTTAAATTACCATTTCTACAGTATTCCCTTCTTTTATACAAATTTGTTTTGTTTATAACAAGTACTGACCTGTTTATGAAGTATGTTCTAACTGCAGTGAGAAAGCCAGCATCACGAATATGAAAGCTGGGAAAATTACTTTCCTGCTTGTATTATTAGCTATTGCTGCATAAAATTCACCCCAAAATGTAGTGGCTGAAAACAATAGTCATTTATTATATCTCCATGATATCAGTGAGTCAGGAATTCATACTGGGACCACAGAGCAGCTTGTCCCTACTTCATTACGTCTGGACCTCAGCTGGAAGGCTTAAAATCTTGTGCCTAGAATCATCCAAAGGCTGCTTACTGAAGGCTTTTTGAAATCATTTGAGTCCAGCTGTCAGCTGAGGTCTGAGCTGGGGCTATGGGCCAGAATACACACACATGGACTCACCACGTGGTCTGGGCTTCCACACAGCCTGGTGGCTATGTTCTAAAAGTAAGCGAGCTAAGAGAAAAAAGAGGAATCCATACTGCTTAATTACAACCTGGACTTGAAAGTCACACAGCATCACTTTTACCATGTCCTATTGGTCAAGGCAGTTCCAAATGTGTATTCAGTTTTAACGAGGAGACAACATTGTCAATGTCATATTCTTTAACAAGCATATGGGATGGGATACATATTGGTGAAGCCATATTTAGAAAATACAATTTGCCAGATTATCAGATACATCTGAAACAATCCTTTATGTTTCTTACAAATAAACTTTGTGGCTTCCAAGTTTGGCTATAAAAATAGACAAACAGATAGGTAAACAGACTTCACCTGGTTAACTTAGAATAATTTGGTACAACACATTTCTCTGTCCCAATTGGTTGATCAATGGTTGCTTCTCCCACATATTGTCAACTACTCCCATATTCTACAAATATTTTAGAGTCCATGTTCCGGTCACTGCACTAGGGTCTGGAGAAATATTGGTAGTATTACAGAATCCCTGCCCTTAATGAGCTACAGGTTTATGGGCAACACAGAAAGCAAGCAGGAAATTATAATTCAATGTGTTTCATATGTTAACAATGGTAAGTATTGGGTGCTGTGGAAGCACTTGGAATAGACACATTACCTAGGCCTGGGAATTGGGAACAACTTCCCAGAAGTACCATATGACTTAGAATGAATAAGTAGGAGCTATCCAGGAAATTGGTATCCGTGATGGAGGAAGGGAATGGGTAAAAGTATTCAAAACAGAGGGAAAAACAGGTTTACACTTCTAGGAGCAAGAGAAAATGTGGCATAGTCATCGATCAGACCTTGTAATCCCAAGGTGCTATGCCCAGGGCCTCAAATGTACTATGCAAAGCAGCTGAGATTATAAGTCCAGCTCAGAGACCCCTTCAGGTCTACTATACCCTCTGTGAGAGACTGACTTTTGTCAGGTTTTGTCCACTTATATATCCCCAGTGTCTAGTATACCTAGCACATAGGGATGCAATAAGTATTTGTGGCTTCATACTTGGATTCCTGTCTCTGAATATTGACTTTGAATGAAAACGCTACTGGACAGTCTTGCTATTCATTATTTTCCATCCTAGATGCAGCCTTTTGGCTCAGGCTCAGCTCCATAAATTGTGGCCTGAAGAAAAGACCTGCCGTCATAGGCTTCCCAGCTCCAACCCAGGCCAGCAACCAAAGCTACTGCTCCTCTGAAAGTTCTGTCAAGCACTTAAAGAGCTAACAGGGCATTTGAAAATTCATGGTCCCCAGTGTCTTCAACTAAGATATGACAGAAGCCATGGCAGTAGACCTGGAGTTGGTTATATCTAGAGAATGATATGGCTCACACTAATACCTTTGCCCTACCTTGGTAAGGACACAAGTGATGCTCACTGTCCTGATATACATGCCTGCAAGAAGATATAACTGAAGGGCTTTATCCATATAGCTGAGCTTATTGCACCAGCCTCAATCTAAAATTACATATATGATAGAATGTTATTTCAGCCTTGAAAAAGAAGGAAACCCTGCCATTTGTGACAATATGAATGAATCCAGAGACATTAAGTAAAACAAGCCAGACACTGCAAGACAAATACTGCGTGAATTTATTTGGATGTAGACTCTTTAAAAATTAAACTCATAGAAACAGAATAGAAGGGTCCTAGGGGTGAGGGGAGTAAAGAATGAGGAGACTTTGGTTAAAGGGTACAAATATGTAGTCATAAAATGAGTAAGTTCGGACACCTAATGTACAGCTTTATTACTATACTTAATAATGTACACTTGAAGTTTGCTGAAAGTAGATCTTTTTTTTTTTGAAATGGAATCTCGCTCTGTCACCAAGGCTGGAGTGCAGTGGCATGATCTTGGCTCACTGCAACCTCCGCCTCCTGGGTTCAAAGTGATTCTCCTGCCTCAGCCTCCCAAGTAGCTGTGTTTACAGGCATGCGCCACCATGCCCAGCTAATTTTTTTTTAAAGTAGAGATGGGGTTTTGCCACATTGGCCAGGCTGGTCTCAAACTCCTGACCTCAGGTGATCTGCCCACCTCAACTTCCCAAAGTGCAGAGATTACAGGCGTGAGCCACTGTGCCAAGCAGATCTTATGTATTCTTATCAGAAAAAAGATAACAATGTAAGTGATAAATTAATTCGATTGAATGCAGCTATCCTTCATTTCACAATGTGTATGTATTTCAAAATATCATTCTGCATATCTTGACTATAATTTTTATTTGATTGTACCTCAAAAAAGATGAAAAATATTTTTAAAATACTCATCTATATTGTGGTTCATCTATCCCATCTGCTTTGTCAGTAGTAGGATAGAAAATATTTTGCAAACCCCAATTATTACCACCCAGCTCACTTTTCCCGCTTCTTTCATCCAACTGGCTGGACTTAGGATTCCATGACAGTAGAGAATTTCCAACCTCAGAATTTACTGGTCAGCTTACACTAGTGATTCAATAAGATCATAGAAACAAGGCTCTCCAACACAGAGACAATCCCCGTGGTGTTTAATATTATGTGTTTGCAACATATCTAGTTTTTCATACATTGCTATTTTAGATCATTTTCTCCTTAGTCAAATGGAGGAAATTTATGAAAGAAGGTAAATGTGGGTTGGAAACCTTATCTCTTTCAACCTCAAAGAGGTTGTCATAGGATCTTTCATCCTCCTAAGACAATACTACCTTCCATTCTTTCCTTTCCTCCTGCCAAATTTGACTTGGAGATCCGGCTAGATTTTGATGACTTAAGTCTATTCCATCATATAAGGAAAATAATGTTAAGAAAACATTTATGTTAAGAATGTCGTAAATCACACTGCAGAAGCTAAGACCCTGAGGTTTACCTGGGTAATTACTTTGTGGCACCAATGGAAACCAAGACCTTTTGTCCCAAAGTATGTCAAGTCTTTGCCTCTGTGTACCTGGGTGTGGTAATGTTCTCTCCTACAAGTGGCTTTGATGGGTTCCTGTGTTAGCATTGTTCACGCTTACTCTGAATGGCAGGCACACACTTATCAAATGACTTACCTTTATTAATTCTAATGATATGCTACTGTCTAAGGCAGTTCTTATTCCCTCCAAATGTGGAGATGCACAGCAGCTTAAATTCAGCCACAGAATTTTCCAAAACCTGCTAATTAGCTTCAGCCTTGGCCTTGGCCTTCAGAAGGCCAAACAGTCAAATGCAAACTTCAGCATCACTTCTGAAATTCCTAAATTTGCAGCTTATCAATTTTCTTGTGAATGTTTGGTTGTCATCATAGTTACCCTGTCTAACAACGTCTAATAACTTCTTGTTTGCATTCGTTATAGCCTTCATTATACCTGGATCAGTGATGATTTTCATGGCTGTTGTACATACTTTTAAAGATTTTTTTCTCCTTTTAAATCTTGAGTTGACAGTCTGCTTTTAATTATTCCTTGCAAATATGAATAATTCCTTAAAAGGATTTTTTGAAATGCTTAAGCCTTAAATAAAAGCAAAAATTAATGTTTTTAAAAGTTATTTTGTTTTCATTTTTAGTGTTAACTCCCTAAAAATTTCACGAAGTTTAGAATTATATCTACTCTCTATTGTTGTAATGTATTTCTATAAACATATGTCTAACTGCATATTCTTTCTAAAGGCATTGAGTTAAAATACTCTTCATATGTTAATAACCATCAATCTGTTACCCTATTTAGCTATTTAAGAATTCTCACTTATTCTGTATAAAACAACTTTTTAATTCATCTTTAATTATTACTCATTTGTCTTCAAATATTTGATAACATTTTGACACATAAGGCACATGAAAATATTATGTTGCTCTAGGTCATATTTAATGTGCATACCTATATTTGAAAATGAGGTCCTATACTAAAAATTACTCCAAAAGCATGCCTTGCTCATGTCACTGACTTTTTGTGTTGACAAGATATGGTAGCAATCTACCTTATTAAAAGCACATAAGCTGGGATGCCGGAAATGAAGTAAACCTTAAGTTATTTGGTTTTCCAAGGGTTAAAACGGAAGCCTCAGAGGATATGTGAACCGAACACTGTGGCCCACGTTGCCCAGTGGTGCACTTAGGAGATCGAAGGGAAATCCCATTTCCTAGCACGGTCAGCAGGCCAGTGTAACAAGACACACAGGATTGAAAACCGCAGCTTTAGGATTGGTTAGATACCTTTCCCAAAGATTCTCTTCATATTCTAGCTCTCAGGCAACCGTGGCTTCAGGCTTTGACAAATATATAAAACTGTATTCATGTGAAAGGTAATTCCTTTGTAGTAGCTATTTTACTGCACCTTCCACATTCGTAGGTAGGCTCACTCCCCTCTCATGGTTGTTTACATAAAATGTATAAGCTGAAACTGTAGATGAAGAAAAACCCTTCTTTGACACGCTCAGGTTTCCAAGTGTCAGTTTTTTACATGGTCACGGTACCAAAATTTGTCTCTACTGTTAAATAATTCACGAACTCATCTGGGCCTGAGAAAAATAATTGATTCAGTGGAATTCTTCCTTATCATTCACCCACACCCACACCCACTGCCCACTCCCTTCCTGCTGCCGAGAAGTGCTCTTCCAGACATCTGGGCTCAGCACTTTCACCAAATCCCTTCCAGTCTCTTCCTCACAACCGTTATTATCATGATAAGAACACTTAACATGAGATCTCAACAAAATTTTCAGTGTATAATGAGTATCTATAGGCTAACTATAGGCACAATGCTGTACAACAGGTCTCTAGATTGTCTTGCATAACTGACACTTTAAGCCCCTTGAACAGCAACTTCCCATTTCCCCTTCCCCCAACTCCTGCAACCACCTACTCTCTGCTTTTCTCTGTGTTTGGCTATTTTGGATAACTCTTGAATCCTGCAGTATTTGCCCTTCAGTGATTAGTCTAACATAATGTTGCTCACAGCTCACCTGTATTGTTGCAAAGCGCAGGATTCCCTTTTTTGGGGCTGGATAATGTTCCATTTATATACAACCCTTTATCCTTGTTTATTTCCCCAAATCCCTGCCCCTCCTCTCATGTAAGGGGAAAGAGAGAGCAGGGATATATGTTCTGAGTATACTACCCCACTCTCTGGACATGTTTTTATTTTATGGAGAAAGTCTGATCCTAAAGAAGTTATAACAATAGCAAGTCTATCCTAGCTGTATATTACTGAAAGGGTTGATAATGGAAGGATATATTTTTTGAACAAGAGACATTTCCTACATCTTTCAGATCATCCCACAGATCTGAATGTTAGCTTTTCAATTGTAGAGGGTCAGGTATGGCTTCTCCAATACCTCCAGCCTTGCTAGGGGCCCCTTCTCCATGTTCTCATAGCATCCTGGCCATGTCCCAATCAGAGTACTTGCTAAATCATACATATTTCTATTTGTATGTTGATTTTCCCCAGGTCCAAGTAACATGGCCAAGAATCATAACCAATAGATGATAGAGATGGGATTTGAATCTGGGCCTTTCTGATATCAGAGCCTATGATCTCTTGATTTTTACATTGTAACTTATTTGAAAATATATATGAAAAGTGTGTCAAATTATCTGGAATCACTACTTCTGGGATAACAAATCCTATTACTTATTATGTTAGTGTCCTTCTTTTAGGTGAATTAGTATTATCATTTGTTTGGTTTGCTTAGGTCCAATATGTCTTAAAATGTATGTAAACAGTAGCTATTAATGTGCTTTTCATAGTTATATGTACTATATAGAGACAATATGGGGATATGAAATTTGCAAAGTCATAAAGATTAAGGAGAAATGTATACCATATAAAAATGTCATCAACACAGTCTTGGCATGCAATCAGTGCTCAATAAATGTGGGAAAACTCCTGTACGAGAAGCAACAAGGTTATACTTGAAGGTACATCAAGCTCTGCTGTTAACTTAGCTATCTCACTTTTCTTCTAGTTGTATCTGCTCTTCTGTAAAATGAGGACATTGGTCTTATTATTTGAAACTGTGGTGTTGAGTAGTTTGCTGCTGGCCCTGAACTACAAATCAAGCACACTTGCATAACCTTCCTGGAAAAAGAACATATTTCTTTGGAATAGCCCAACAGTAGAACTACAGAAAGAAATATTTTGCTTACTCAACATATCAGTTTATATAAAATAAGAAGATCCTCAGAAAACACTAAAACTTAATAAAGTCTTTTAAATGCCTCAGTGAAAATAATACGTGAATGTAAAAACCCTGAAAGCAAAGCATAAACTTCCTTTGATATCTGTCCGCCCTAGAAAAAGGTGATGGATTATTATGCATTTGCTTGTTTGGAATTCCATTTATATTCTATTCCGTGCTACAAGATTTAGAACATCATGAAAATGTTGTGGCTATTGGTAGGTTGGGGAAAGGGAGAAGAGACATAATAAAGTTAATCCTTGAATTAAATGAAAAAATATGAAAGGAAGATGAAACAAATTTCAGAATACAATGAAAACAGATATCTTCCAAGGAAAAAGAGTATATCACGTAGGTAACTGCAAGCTTAATAGGTAAAGAGATAAACGTATAGATTTGCCACACTGCCAAAGCTTACAACTGAACAAATACCAGAGCCTCATTCTGCAGATTTAAATATATAACTACTTCAGAGTCCTACTAACTAAATTCAAACATATAATTGTGTAAGTGTCTATTGTAAGCAGTTTTGCAAACTCTCAAATATGTTCAGAAAAAAATTGCTACACTCAGCTGTGGCTAAGAAAACAATCAAAAGACATTCAATAGCATTTCTCAAGTGATAAGGAAATATTCAACTATGGTTTATTCTAATTTAGACCAGCATCCAATGAAACCTACATCTTGCAATTTTTAAGTATTAAAACCTATTTTTATTAAAAACATCAGAAAGTATTGAGCGTTCTTAAGTATTCCCAGCTGGATGCATTATGTGTACTGAATTCGTTATTCACTGTAATAGTACCAGGTGGTCCTATAGGCTTAATGATGATTTGATTATAAATACAAAGAAAAAAATTACAATGGGAATGTATTCTGGATACCTTTCTAACTTATCTCAATGTGCTAACTTTTAGCTAAAGCTGCAACTATATTCCTAACAGAGACCAGGCTGAAATAGCAGGGCTTGTCAGCATCAACTGGACACAACTGTGTTGGAATTTCACTTTTGCCCCACTTTCCTAGGCAGTATCCTGATGTAAGTGGAGAAGTTACAGAGATTATGCCCAGAGATGAGTGCTAATAAACAGACAGGGCAGGCTACTTTCAAATAGTTCCAGACAGGTTGTTATGCCATCGAATAAAGTTTTTAAGATAACTTGGAAGGGAGAGAGGCTAGAACAGGAACTAGAAAGATTCTTTTGCAGCTGATGTTTGGGAAAGGAGAGCTAATGGAATCAAATGTGACATATGCTTAATAAACTGCTGTCTTGCCAAAGTGACTGGGCACCCTAGGAGGTAATCCTCTTTGAATTAGACTAGAAAAACATTTGACCAGCTGTTATCACTTAAATAAATTTTGATTAAAAAATATGCAGGGAAAAACATTGTAGACCAGTGACCTTCCATTCTCCCCTTATCGTCTCTATTTTTTCTTTTTTGCTAGCAATGGCCCCCAACTGCTATATAAGGAGATGAAGCCTCCTTTGTTCTCTTGAGTACTTTTATGAGTTAGGTATGCAAGTTTAGGGGAGGAGAGGCATTTGAGACCTACTCTGAAATAAGCAGGAAAATAATTTTGAACTCTGGTTGATGAAGGATAAAAGAGATGCAGAAAAATAGACTCTGAGTGAAAGGTTCTTAAAATTACCAGAAATCGTAAGGCATGGATTTAGCAAGGGTCTTATAAAACAATATTTAGCTATCAGGAGCATGAAAGGATTTAATTTGCATCTAGGTTACATATGAAAATAAGCAATGGAGTATATGGGGTCTGAACACAATATTGAAATTTAAGGTCAATTAGATTTAATTGTGGTGAAATGTCATTGACTCTTTGGTCTAGAAGAAATTCATGAAGTCATTTAGTCCATTCCCCAGATTATAACTTGGACATATTCAAACTATTACAAGCAAACAATATTCCTTCATGCACTGCCTTATATAAGAACCCATTGCCTCTTTCAGCAATTTCCCTTAGCTGCCATAGTTCAGGGCAATATTTACTGAAGATCTACATAACTGAGTGATGCTCTAGTGCTTACAGATGTACCCGCCATCTAAAAATCAACAGAACTTGTCAGATTTAATGAATTAATCCTTTTTCCCCAGTAGTATTTTAATAATTTAGCAATAAGATTAATAGAAAGTATTGCTGAAACTACAGCTAAATGTGTTTCCAACAAGGAATCAGCAATTATATCAGGACTTTCAAATGCCCTTTCTCTTTACCTGAACTATAAATTCAAATTTGCTTTCGCCTAACATGAAGAAATATTTTATGGAAATATACTGGCCGAAAAGTAACTTGTCAGGGTCATTGGCAGTTAATTGGACTAGAGCCGCTGTCAATTAAAACGGGGCTGCCATGCTTTACTAAACCAAAACAGCAAAGAGGCTTACAAACAATTCAGCACATCATTAAAACTCAGTGACTATCAGGCTTGGAAGTAGCTTTAATAAATAAGAAGACAAGGCCAAGATGAGTGTCTGAAAGATATTTCAAACAAGAGAATTCCATTTAGCCATCACAGTTAGTTCACTTTTTTAAGAGGCAGGATCTCACTCTGCGCCCAGGCTGGAGTGTGGTGGCATGATCATAGCTCAGTGCAACCGGGAACACCTGGGCTCACGGAATCCTCTCACCTTAGCCTCCTGAGTAGCTGGAATTACAGGCATGCGCCACCATGCCTGGTTCATTCTTTTTTTTTTTTTTTTTAACTTCGCTGGTGAAGTGACTAAAATGCAGGCCAGTTTTTAAAAGGAGAGAATATAAAGGAACTAGATAATCTAAGAACTCAGGGTGCATCTGTTGAAAAGTGCAACATTTACCATAATACTGAAATAGCCTGTTTGTTGCTGTTTTTTGTTTTGTTTTGTTGGGACACGGTGTCGCTCTGTGACCTAGGCTGGAGTGCAGTGGTGCCATCTCAGCTCACTGCAAGCTCTGCCTCCCAGGTTCAAGTGATTCCGGTGCCTCAGCTTCCTGAGTAGCTGGGATTACAGGCAAGTGCCACCATGCCTAGCTAATTTTTCTTTTTTCTTTTTTTTTTTTTTTTTTTCTTTTTAGTAGAGACGGGGTTTCGACATGTTGGCCAAGCTGTTCTCGAAATCCTGACCTCAAATGATCCGCCTGCCTCAGCCTCCCAAAGTGCTGGGATTACAGGCGGGAGCCACGGTGTCCAGCCTGTTTGTTGGTTTTAAAAAATGCTTATTTTTTTAATCACAACCAGAGCCATAGGTGCTACATCAGAAACAGTACACTTTTCATAGCTCTCAAATCTCTCTCATTCATCAAAGGTGAAACAAATCACAAAGTTTGCTTACAAATAGCATTCATAAAATAAATATGCTATACTTAAATAACCAACTTTAATAATTAGAATTTTTAAAATTATTTTGTTTATTCACATATTACTGGGAATCGTCATATTCTGACTGAATGCTAATATACATTTTTAAGTATTTTTCTTCCTGTGGATTTGCACAGACCACACACCACAGAATAAAGACCTTTATTGCCTCTAAAAGCTTTTGCAGTAACAGTCCATTCAGATGATCCTATTAATTTTGTTATGAAAGCACTGATAAAATACAAAGTGATTTTGGAATGTTACGGAGTTCATCAGGTGAAAATAGAAAATAATAATAATAATTAGCCTGCTTTTTAAATGACTCCAAGCAGATAACCACTGGCACAATGCCACATATTTCTCCAACTGGGTTTAGATTCTAGCCTTGCACTGATCACCCTGGCCCTTTCAGGGAGGAATCCTCCCAACTAAGTCCAAGGATAGAAATGACCCATACAGGTGTTTCCAATGGAATCGACAGAGCACCAATCAAAAAGAGACGCTATCAGAAAACTCAGTACAATTTAATTCATTTAGAAAGTTCTTCTTAGATAATAATAACTTAATAAAAATTATTTATTTATGCCAGAAAGTGGTCTCATATATTCTATTAATCTATTTTCATACTGCTATAAAGAACTACCTAAGACTGAGTAATTTATGAAGAAAAGAGGTTTAACTCACAGTTCCACAGGCTTACAGGAAGCATGACCTGGGGGTTCTCAGGAAACTTACAATCATAGCAAAACGCAAAGGGGAAGCCAGAAATGTCCTCTCATAGTGGCAGGAGAGACAGGGGCAAAGTGCCACAAACTTTTAAACCATCAGATCTCTTGAAGACTCACTATCCCAAGAGCAGCAAGGGGGAAGTCCGCCCCATGATTCAATCACCTCCCACCAGGCCCCTCCCCTGACACGTGGAGATTACAATTCGAGATGAGATTTGGCCCACCTGAGGACACAGAGCCAAACCACCTCATATATCTTAGACTACTGAATCATGGTGGATTTTGTTGATGCTGGTGCTGTTATCTTATCCTGAACTGTGTATATTAGTTTGATCAATTTCTAATTGATTGTGCTCCTCTCTCCTGGAAAAGCCCTATTTGGAAGCTGATAATTCTGTTTGCTTCCAGGGAATGGTTTCAGTTTTTCTTTTTTGTTTGTCTTGGTTGGGTTTGATTTTGGCTTTGTTTACTTCTGTTTTTGGCTTACTTTATAATCCTCAGGTTTTCTGGTGTGCTAGTGGCTTTGTGCCTTAAAACACAGTCTAATCTGAGAAAAATTCTATGAAGTAGCCATGAAAAGCCAAGAAGAGGAAATTAGGACCCAAACTGCCTTTCTTTTTAGCTTCAGAAGATAACGAGTTTCCTTGTGTGTAAATAAATGCCCTCTACGACTGATGCAGGCAGGAGATTAATTGTTTTGCCTAGAAGTGTATCATTGTCAAGGAAAGATTCAAACTCAAGATTTTTAATCTTGTTTTAGTTTAGCAAATCATTTATAATCAACAAACATTTCTTAAACCTAAAATACTAGACACCAGACTACATAGAAGATAAATCCCTTGCCTTAAACAGCATATCCCCTAGTTGAAGAGACAGAACATCAAGGGAAATAATAGGCACATGGTGCATGGTAAAATGAAAAGGCCTGGGGTTAGGGTTAGTCAGAAGAGTGACATTAACTACAATCACTTTATCTTTCCATCTCTGGTTACATCTGTGAAACAAACACATTTATATTTGCCCTACCTTCCTCCACGGGTACATTAAGGCTCAAACCACAAGAATGTGAAATGCCCAAGCAAATTAAGTTATTGTAATGATTTCATTTAAAAATTGATACTGAAGAATCAGTATTTTACTATCCTATTTTAAATGTGAGAAGTACCAAAAATTCTATATTTAACTTCTTTATTCTACAAAAATTAGGATCTTGAAAATCATCCTAATGGCTAGCAAGGAAAACCTATTTCTTGGTACTGTTTCCTCAGTGATGTCAATATGATACATCTCCAAAGGAGGAGAGAACTCAATTACTTGTAACACCGGGCCCTGAAGATGTTCTTACGCCATCAGAGTTGTTTGCATAATTTTGGAATATCCACTCCCCTGTCCCCCCGCAAAAAAAAAACTCCGTTTTCAAATTCAGAAGATGTATCTGGTGAGCCTAAGGGGAATTTTACTTCCTTTGTTAGTGATTGATTCGGTAATGGTCAAAGAAAAGTACAAAGATGTTTTCATGAGGGTTCCCACTCCCCGTGTTTAAGAGAAAGCTGCAAAATGGAATAATATCTTAGTCAGTTTAGGCTGCTATAACAAAATATCCTAAACTGGGTGGCTTATAAACAACAGAAGTATATTTCTTACAATTCTGGAGGCTGGAAGTCCCAGTTTTAGGGTGCCAGCATGGTCAGTTTCTGATGAGGTTTCTCTTCCGGGTTCCAGACTGCTGACTTCTCATTTTATCCTCACATGGTGGAGAGCAGAGAAGGGAAATAAGCTCTCTTGTGACTCTTATAAGGGCACTAATCCCATTTATGAGGGCTCCACCATTATGACCTTATCTAATCCTACTAACCTCTCAAAGGCCCAACTCCTAATGCTATCACACTGGGGAATAGGGTTTCAACATGAATTCTGGGGAGACACAAACATTCAGTCCACAAATAGCATCCCTTGTTCTTCTGGGTTTTGTCATATGTAGAAACTGCTATGACCATGTTACTACCTATGCATGAAGCTGACACTAAGAATTGGAGATCACAGATGGAAAGAACCTGGATCTCTATTACATCATGGAACTGTGGACTCACAGTTACCCTTAAGGGAGGTAACCAATGCCCTACCATTGATCTTCCTGTTACATGAGAAAAAAAACTTCCTTAGTGTTTGAGCCAGTTTGAACCAGAATTTCTGTTACTTTTAGATGAAAGCAGTCAACTAATATACATATCATGATAACATTTATTTAGCTCTTAATGTGAAGAAGTCCCCCATGCTAAATACTTCATAGGTTATTTTATTTTATCCTCAAAACATTATCACTCAGAGATGACGAAACCAAGGCCCAAAAGATTGAATGACTCGTCCAAAATCACACAAAGCCAGTTGTGGAACCCAGGCAGGCTGCCTCCTTCAACACCCATAAATTTTTTAACAAAACATTATCTTTTATCATATTTGATTAATCCCTTATTAGAACTATGCAGAAAGAAACTTCTCTTTTAAAAATGCACTTGATGAGGCTGGGTGCAGTAGCTCACACCTATAATCCCAGCACTTTAGGAGCCCGAGGCGGGCAGATCACCTGAGGTCAGGAGTTTGAGAACAGCCTGACCAACATGGAGAAACCCCGTCTCTACAAAAAATACAAAATTAGCCGGGCATGGTAGTGCATTCCTGTAATCCCAGCTACTTGGGAGGCTGAGGCGGGAGAATTGCTTGAACCTGGGAGGCAGAGGTTGTGGTGAGCTGAGATCACACCATTGCACTCCAGCCTGGGCAACAAGAGCAAAACTCCATCTCCAAAAAAAAAAAAAAAAAATGCACTTGCTGAATTAAACATACAATAGGTAGAATATTTCATTGTTTTCCAATTTCCTGTTTATTTCACAAGTATGACTAGCCAAAAGTTTGTTTAGAGATCCTACTTATCTCAGACTCTCACGAGCTTCCCCAAAGATGAGAGAAATTATAGAACTAATTCGGTAGAGAAGCCAATGAATGTGTAATTTTTAATGAATAAGCTGTAGTTAATATTAATTTACAATTTTTAAATGGAACTAGAAATACTTCTATAATAGCACAGAACCTCTGAAGCCCCTAATCAGAAAGCAGGAGTCTTATACCTGTTTTGTTGTAAAGGAGACAGAAAAGATCAAACAATATGTGAATTTTTCCTCTTGAAGGGGCAGCTGGTCTGACTCAACTGTGTTGATGATCAGGTACTTGGCTAGGATCAAGACTGGATACTTTCGGCTTGGATGAAAAACAGAAGAAGCTGTGACTACTCAGAGCCAGGGGGACAGCCAGACCAAAAATTGTTGGGGAAAAAAGGAAGCTCAAAGGCCAAAAGATAGAAGCCAAGTGTCAAATCCAAGAACAAAAGGCAAGAATCAATGCAAGGATCAAAAAGCCCCGTGACCTTGATGTCAAAATTCGAGCTGATCAGAGCCAACCCAGCAGGAAATGGGTTTCTAGAAGAACTGTCTCAGATATGTCTGGGCCTTCATGATCCCCTGTAAGGACCAGCAGGTATATGATACCTGGGAAGATGACAATGGCTTCCAAGACTGAGGTTGGGCAGACCACCAAAGATCCCAAAATAAAAGCAAAGGTTTAAATTTAAATAACTAGCATGGCAAGAAGCAAAGTACTCATTGCATTATGAAAATCTGAAAGTAGAATTTCTCTTGGTGCAGCAAAGGATCTCTAGTAAGAAATAACATGAGAAAACATAGGTGTTATGATCGTTATAAAGGTTGATGATTCTTAAGTACATTCGAGGATGCTAAAGTTCTAACAATGTTCAGGTGCAGGGATCAAGTGTCTTTTACATAATCCTTCCACCAGAAGACATCAAGTTTAACTGAAATTCAAATCTGAACAATAGGACAACCATCTGGAAAATAACGCTGCAAAACTACTACACAGCAAGTAAGTCAATCTGCAAAGCTGCAATGAAGTAAAACCGACTGAAGAGTATGTTATGTACTGTAGGCTATACCAATCTGTGCATGTGAATAACTGTCAATATCCCAACCTAAAATAATTTTAATGATGGGAATAAACATTAAATATTTACCAGCTGGTGCACCACTAGATCAATGGGCTCATCTCCCTCCCCTGAGTACACACAATAATAAATGAATAGACTTGGGCTTCCAACAGCAAGAAAAAGATTGCCTCAAAATTGGAAATCAATGATACCACTATGGTTACATCAATAGGTGAAGCGATAAATGGAGGCTGCTGTCATTTAAAAAAATATATTGTAATAACAGAGAAAAAAAAGCTAAAGGGAAGTTTTTCTTATGTTTGCTTTATTTACTTTCTAATTTTCAAAATGAATTTTGACAGAAGTCCTTGGCCATTTGTACTTTTTAAAAGAACATGTTGTTCCAAACTAACAATGTCTCCTAATATGAAATCCAGTTTCTGTCAATCTGTCCATAAAAATATTTTAGGTTTAGATTTTTCAGTTTATGTCTGGTGCTAAGAAAATGTATGACAATTAAACCGATTGAGAGGGAACAGGAGATGGGGTTACAGGACATAGTGTCATAGGAACAAGTAAAATAAAAACACGTTTTAAAATGTTAAAATTTAATCTCTATTTTATTCTATTAAATTTTGTGCCTTATAAGATATGCTGAACCAAGTGTTCCCAAGTTATGACTTACCATGGAAAATTCTGATGTGAATGTTTTCTCTTAGAAATAAAGCTATTGAGCTGTAAGAGTTGATATAACTATTGTCTTTTAAGTTTATTTGAGCAAATGGTTGATAGTAAGAGCTCCACTAAAATACCGAGTTGGTTCATTTACACATCCCTTCAACCTACTCAGTGAGGGACTGTCAGCCTTCCAGCAGCATGATGATAACACCTCCATGGCTGTTATCCTCTTCATCCTAGTCAAGTGGCACTGTGACAAAACCTAAGAAATACCTGATAGGATATGCTGGCACTTCAGCCAGAAATTTTTCCCCTGACTACTGCATTCTTACTATCTGAATCAAAAAATTGGAACAAGTCAACTCTAAGGATGAGACAACAATAACAGATGGCATCAAGGGGACACTTGGGTTGAATCAGAAAATATGTCTCCCTTTTGAGAAAAGAATTGGCACTAATCAAAGGGAAATATAAATTACAATTTGGTACAAGCAAGGAGTCCTAGGAAGTAGAAGCCATTTCAGAGCCCTAAAAATACTTTATTTCTTCAGTTGCTATTTTGAAAATTGCTTTTCCCTGTATAATATTCAGTAGGATTCAGATAATTTGAAAGGAGCAAAAAGCCTTGTTAGCTCTTTTCTATATCATAAAATCCATTCTTTGTCATTTTACATATTCATCGCTGTATTTTCTTGGGTGTAATATTTTTTTAAATGGTGTCTGAAAAGTGAAATTATTTTTCACAAAAAGAATGTATCTGTTATGATTTTCCTGGTAATGATTTTTGCACATTATCTATCATGGTCTAGAAGTTTCCATTATTGATTTCTGAGGATTTTTTTTTATAATAAAGAAAATGAACCTGAAAAAAAAAAAGAATGTATCTTTTTGTGAAAATCCAATGCCTGTAAAGCATTGTTTATATTATGGAGGCACACGAATGTCAATAGTTGACATTAGTTCAAAATGTCCTCATTATGAATCATTTAAATTGTAAACAGACACATTACTTTTGTTTTCTTGTCTTTCCCTTTCTTTGTTCTTCCAATCTATAGAGACTCTGTGAACGCTCTGGGGAAAGGCCCAGTCAGTGTGTGTGTTTCCTGCAGCTTCTCATATCAAGTCATATTAAACATGGATACCAATATGCTATCTCTTATATAAATAGTAATTTCATCAATAAGCATTCAACATTCATGTGTTGAACCTCTACTATGTGCTACTACTCCTAGTCTAGAAGATGACACATGACAGTAACTGGCGGAAAATTATGCAATCCCAAATGTTTTTAAATTACGTACAGGTCAAACGTGAAAACATGCTTGTAAAAATGTGGAGGTTGAGAATATTTCAATTTCTAAAATTATCCTTGGTGCAAGAATTGCATACTTTATTTTTATTTTTTGTTAATGTTTATTTTTATCTCAATAGTTTTGGGGGTACAGGTGGTATTTGGTTACATGGCTAGTTTCTTTAATGGTGATTTCTGAGATTTTAGGGCACCCATCACCCAAGCAGTATACATTATACCCAATATATAGTCTTTTTTTTTTTTTTTTTTTTTGAGACAGAGTCTTGCTCTGTCTCCCAGGTTGGAGCACAGTGGCATGGTCTCGGTTTACTGCAACCTCTGCCTCCTGGGTTCAAACAATTCTCCTGCCTCAGCCTCCCGAGTAGCTGGGACTACAGGCATGCACCACCATGACCAGTTAATTTTATATTTTTAGTAGAAACGGGGTTTCGCAGTGTTGGTCAGGCTGGTCTCGAACTCCTGACCTCATGATCCACCTGCCTCGGCCTCCCAGAGTGCTGGGATTACAGGTGTCAGCCACCACACCTGGCCCCAATATGTAGTCCTTTATCCCTCATCCCCCTCCCAGCCTTTCCTGCCACCCTGAGTCCCCAAAGTCCATTATATCATTCTTATGCCTTTGTATCCTCATAGCTTAGCTCCCACTTATAAGTAAGAACATATGATATTTGCTTTCCTATTCCTGAGTTATTTCACTTAGAATAATGACCTCCAGCTCCATTCAAGTTGCTACAAAAGACATTATTTCATTCCTTTTTATGGCTGAGTAGTATTCCATTATATATATATATATATATATATATACACACACACACACACATATAATCACATTTTCTTTATCCACTTGTTGGTTGATAGGCACTTAGGTTGATTCCATATCCTTGCAATTGTGAATTGAAGCATTGCACGTTTTTAGAAAACAAAATACTTTGACGAGTCATGTTAGTGATATTTAAGGCACCTCAATGATTGGAGAACAAACTCAATAAAAAATTTTTATTAAAGCATTTTCTAAGGATCAGAGGCCAGTTAAATGTCCCCAGGTCCTATTGTAGACAAGCAAGCAAACCAGGGGTAGGAGTTATACACACTGCATAACAGAAGGCAAAGGAGCTTGGAGACCTCAGGGAAAAGTCAGAAGGAGGATCCAGAGAAAGGAGAGCAAGAGACCAAAAGGAGAAGGGTGAGAATCTTGGTAGAAGTGAGGCTAAGAAAGAAGTCCAGTGGACATAAGTGTCTAATATGATATTTTTCTATGTTTCATAATGTAGGTCTCCCATGTCTACATGATTCCTAACCCATTCTCCACCATATATTCAGAAAATATTTTAAAAAGGAAAAAATGACCTTGCAAAATCCTAGCTGTTTATTGGATTTCTTAACAAAACCAATGAATGTACAATGTTCCAAATCTGGGTTGATGCAGGCTGAACAATCAGGGTGTGGCAGGGAGGATAGCCTATGTGGGTTAGTTACATCTACAAAATCTACAACAGGACAGATCCAGGTTTGTAGGGCCTAAAGCTAACACAACTTGAGGTATTATCTTTAAGAAAAATTCCACAAAAATATAAAGTTAGCTACAGGGACTTGGAAGAGGCCCATAGAAGTGAGGGATACTGAAATCAAAGCTTCATTGGCGTCAAAGTAAATGATCATCTGCCTACATATCAGGCAAATTGTGGAAACTTTTCCTAAAAGAAATACAAATGCGGCCGGGCACGGTGGCTCACACCTGTAATCCCAGCATTTTGGGAAGCCAAGGTGGGCAGAACATGAGGTCAAGAGATCCAGACCATCCTGGCTAACATGGTGAAACCTTGTCTCTACCAAAAATACAAAAATTAGCTAGGTGTGGTGGTGTGCTCCTGTAGTCCCAGCTACTTGGGAGGATGAGGCAGGAGAATTGCTTGAACCCGGGAGGTGGAGGTTGCAGTGAGCCGAGATTGCACCACTGTACTACAGCCTGGTGACAGAGTGAGACTCCACTTCAAATAAAAAAAATAAATACAAATGTTGGGCAAGATTTTCTTCACATAGGAGAACCTCAGAACTCTGGATAGAGGGGAGAAGGGATAGGAATATTAAAAATAAAGTTATTTATAAAGTCAATGTTTATCATTAATTATATAAATCATTTCCTATATGCTCATCATTGACACATTCTTTTAATTAAATGCATATCTGATATGGAAACCATCTCATTATGTTACTATAATCAGATAGGAACAGTTTATGTCATTACATTTAAATGCATGGTAATTCCCAGTGTCAAGGTGAGTATATTTAGAACACTGATTGCAAACTGGTTTCCAGTTACTCTTATTAAGATTTACCAAGAATCTGCATGAATTATAGAGCACATTATTATTATAATTATGGGAGAAAATAGAATAGAGGAGAAATGGCAGCTGTTTTCCTAGTGGATGTCTGGTGAGGAGCTTCATCAATAGCTGATGTAATGGGCTATAGGAATGCCTGTTCAGCTCTGTCTGAATGTAAATTGGACTTTTTAAAAAAAATTCTACTAACAATGAGGAATGTGTTTGGCAGTCTGCTTTGACCATTGAACTTTCCTAACCTATCCCTTTTTATCAGCTCAGTGCCTTTTCTTCCAGAATTTTTCACTAAGAATCCATACAAAAACATCAGAAAAAGAACGCTAAAAACATGGCGAAGAAGTAGATTGTTAATCTTAATACGGTCTTTCTACTGCATTCATGTTGACTTGGTGTGATATGGCTCAAGGGGCAGCAGGAAAGAAAATTCCATTTGATGGTTCTACTTTGCCACAGTACTCCCTTCCCCTCTTCTCTCGGTAACAACCCCAGCTTTTCCTTCGGAGGACCATACCTCTTCCCATCCCTCTACTCCTGTCTGTCTCAAGGGGGTCTGAAGGGAGGGCATGTGACCCAGGCTAGACCAATCGGACTTTCTTTCCTGGCAGACTGCATCTATCCATAGCAGGATGAAAAACAGACAGATGCCATTAGGGCTGAGTGTTTCCAGGGGCAGAGTCCAAAGAAGACATGATTGTCAGTGAATTCCTGACAGTTCCCTGGAGCTCTCCTTCCAGCAGCACAGTGATTCAGCAATTCTTTGGAATCTGTTCACTATCCAGAATGCCTCCAACAAAGTCCTCATATGCTTAAGGTGGAAAGAGTTGGTCTCTGTTGCTAGCAGCCAATGTGCCCTAACATGGTGATAGAGGGTAGTTTATCACTAAGTTAATAGGGTCTCACTTCTCATTTTTCCAGTCTTGTTCATTTCTCTGTATAGTCTTGAAGCCACATTTGACAGAAATCTGAAAGCAGTCTTAAAAGTACAAATACCGCCCTACTCCCTCAAAAAATTTTCATGCAAAAATTTAAAACATTTAGTTCCTTTTATACTTTACCAAATCTGCTCTACCATGTCTAAAACACAAGCGAGATGAAATATGAGAATAGTAGTGTCTCAGGTGGTAACTCCCAAAAGGTCATCCTGTTTTTCAAATGCTTATAAATCCAGGAGAGTTTGGAGATTAAAAAAATTATATCTTCTGGTTTGAGACTTCACTGATATTTTTCTTTACACTCTCTTTAAGACCTAATTTGAAGGTTTACATTAACTCTTGGGGGACTTTAAGCTTAAAATATTAGTTAAAATTGGTTAATTAATTTTTAAATTAGTTAAAAATATTTCTGACAGGTTTATATTTGTGTGTGTTCATATAACTCAAAAGAGATTAATTTTGACAAATTGAAATTGGCAAGCCAGTTACCTCTAATAGCATCCAAATTGTTTATTTTACTTAAATAGCAAAACAAATGGATATAGAGAACCTCTGGCATTTTCCAAGCTCAGCATTTCCCTAATGTTTTCATCAGCAGCCTAAGAGGTTACCACAGGACACTCGAACATGCACAGAGAAAGTGAGTCCCCTGTGGAATCATTCAGAAAAGATCTCCACTTGCCTTTCTATATTGTATCATACTGGAAAGCCTGGGTTTTCTCCCTTCCCTGCCAAGACAGGATTTACATTCAGCAACTGCCAAGCTATCTGCTCTAATGTCTTCAGTGTAAATTTTCCAGAGTTGGGCTGAATGTATTTCTAGACTTGGAGTCGGAAGCACTTTTAAAACAGCAAAGTAAATCTATGTCTGATGTGGTATTATGTTAAATATTTACAAATTGCTAATAATTACAAAACCTTTGACTTTCTGCCTGTACTGAATCATTCCAATCAGGACAAGCCCTGTCAAGAAGCAGTCTACCTGGTCTTTTAGAGAGAACTTACCAATCCTACCTCAAGCCTGGCTATAGGAGGGGAAAGTGTAGAGTTTCAGTAACACCTATGAACTCTAGATAACATTTGCTGATACTGAGATCATGAAGGTAATGTGGACTACAGTGTCAAAGATAAATGCAAATGATAAAAATTTTGGTGACACTCATATTTGGGGAAAAGCAAAGTTAAAAAGAATATTAATTGGGTTTCACTAAAATGGCAATGTGAGTTATAGGGTGGGGAAATGACATCAGAAAATGTCATTTTGTTGCTCATCTAACAGTGGTACACATGTCCATGCTTTCACATGTCCCATCTCTGGGGAAGAATCTCAAGTTGTTTCCCTTTAGTCACCCAAGTAACGATATGGGGATTTGCTCTCCTACGCTCCCCATCCCACTGGGTATCAAGGACTTAAATGTCCATTTTTGTTTGTATTCTGTAGATGAGGTTGAAGAGTTGGACTGGTAAGTGTCTGGATCCTTAAAAGCGGGAGATTTATACTGGGGATTTCAGACAGAGTTGAACAGGAATTCCTATAGCCCATTACATCAGCTATTGATGAAGCTCCTCACCAGACATCCACTAGGAAAACAGCTGCCATTGCTCCTCTGCACAAGCTGCTGGCACAGGTCATGTAGGTGGGGATGGGCAGACATCGACTGGACTATCACACCCTCAATCGTATTCACATGGCAGAAGCCAGACAGAGTCTCAGGGCTCCACTGCTCTTCTCTATGTGGTCCCTCCAAGTCTGTTCTTCTCATCACGTGGCCCACTGACCTCGCATGTCATGATCCATGCATACTCCTCCAGCACCACCCTGCAACGCTGACCACCCCAGTCTAGTCTGCTGAGGCTCTTCATCTGTTTTCTTTCCTGGTGTGTGTGTGTGTGTGTGTGTGTGTGTGTGTTGCCCTGCTTTACTTATCCCCTCATAAAGCTTTGCATCCCTATAAATGACATTTGCTAACATCTTAGTGCACCCCATACAACTTCCCTTCCCAGAACGTAGGAACAAACTTAACATCTGGAATTTGTTTCTTCAGAATACTAGGCTCCCAAGAGCATGTAGCTTGGACCTAAATCCTAGTGGAGTACACATATTTTCCTAGTAGAGAATCACTATTTGTTTTTTCAGGATGCTCTTCTTTTACCCAACATTACTGACCTCACTTACTACTACCCTACCTAGATTGTTCAGCCCCAAATGTTGAAATGGCTTCAGGCAGTGGACAACTCTTTACCTAAAGGCAGAGAGAAGTCTTAGGTGAAACACCAACCCAAACTTCTGCCATTCTCTCTTCCTCCCCAGAGTCACTGGGTCTCTAAGGTGTGGTCACCTGCGATTTTTGCCTTAGGCAGAAAAAGTCGAAGGTTTCTTAGTTTCTGGTCCCTATGTGGATCTCCACAGATCTCCCAAGCCCACTTTAATGTCCCGACTCCTAGCTTTAAGCTTTTCCTTGCCTAATTATGGGGTCCAATCCACCCCTTCAAAGCAAAAGCACTCCCATCATGTCCCAGATCTCCATTCTTCTCATCCCAGATGATATGGCATTCCATCTTTAAGAAGAGATTCAATGCTTTCAGCGCCTTGATATTTTGAAGTCGCAGTCTTTCCATGTCCATCTCTTTCTGTAATGGGTCTCTGTCTGACCATGACACTTTCAACCATGCTCTTATGACAGTCTCGCTTCGAAAACTAACAGGGATTTTTGAAAATCTACTTCTTTGCTGCACACCGGTTTTCACAAAGGGTCAAAACTCTGGTTTCAGACTCACTTGCTCCAATTCTTATCTAGGATTATGTTAGTTTGTAGAGTAGATGTGCCTTACACAAGGATTCTTCAGAATTCCAGACATGTGTGCATGTGTAAGAAATATGAATTTCAACAATCACAAAAGGTAAACATGCCTAGGTAGAACTTTCCTTATATCTTCATAACCTAATACTCTTACACCCCTTTTTTTCTATTCGTGTAATCATCCCAAGTATAAGTATCAAAGAATGTTAAAACAGAGTGAACATTTCAGTCTTAATTGGTGCTGAAACCCCAAAATGATAAATGCCAAATGCCAAGAATTCCCATATTTCTGTCCCTACAGTGGAATTAATTAAAAAATCATGTGACCATTGGCCCCAACCCACTAGCAGATATAAAGAAAGGAGGGTGGGTTCTTTCTCATTACCTCTAGTCAATTGAAGGGCACTCCAATGGGACCAGTCACAAAGTTTCTATGTACCTACAGGATTAAAAGGATTCAACTAATTGTGTTCTTCTTTCAAAAATTTATTTGCAAAACTCTTCAAAATGGGGAGATAAAACTTAAATGTCCCCACTACTTCAGATGACCTCCTACTGAAAAGTCCCACTCTGATTCCAGATTTTTTTCCAGTGGCCCCAGCCCACAGGCTCCCGTAACACCATCCCTTGCTTTCTCCCTCCAACATAAGGATGCAGTGGCTTCCTGCTCTTGCCAATCTCTGGATTACCTCTCCATCCTTTGTTTGGTTCTCAGCTCCTATGTCACCAGTATAAACAACTCTCTACAGTAAACTTCCGGTACTGTAGACACTTGAAGTTGTCTCTGTTTTCGTAGTTCGGCCCTGACTGATCTACCTCCAACACACATGCACGTGGCCTCCCCCATCACTGGGGACCTCACCTTCAATTCTTTGACAGGGAGAGTACTCTGGCCTGCCACTGATGGCTTGTCCCTCCATCCCGGGTCACTGGCGACACAAGCATCTTTCAGCTGACATCTCCTTTTCCTGACAATGGTCATCTTGGATGGAACCTAAGATGAATCAACTTCCATGTCCTAGATCTGTTCCTCATGAAAAACACAACTTAGAATATATTAGGCCATTCTTGCATTGCTATAAAGAAATACCTGAGACTGGGTAATTTATAAAGAATAGAGGTTTAATTGGCTCACAGTTCTGCAGGCTCTGACATCAGCTTCTGGAGAGGCCTCAGGAAGCTTACGGTCATGGTGGAAGGTGAAGTAGGAGCAAGCACATCATATAGCCAGATCAGGAGTGAGAAAGAGAGACAGAGAGGAAGATATAAAGAGAGAGGGAAGGGGGAGGGAGGGAGAGAGAGACAGAAAGAGAAGCGGGGGAGGTACCACACACTTTTAAATGACCAGATCTCGTGAGAACCACTCATTATCCTGAAGACAACACCATGAGGGAAGCCATGAGGAATCTACCCCCATGACCCAATCACCTCCCATCAGGCCCTAACTTCAGGCTGGAGATTACTATTCCACATGAGACTTGGAGGTGTGGGGGACAAATATCCAAACTACATCATAGAAATTGCCAGTAGCAGCTCAATTCCTGTTTTAGCCTGGGTTCCCCCAAAAGCAAACTCTAAGACAAAGCCTGTTGCATGAGCACTTACTTTGTGAATGTGATCCCAAGGAAGGGGAGTGAGGACTGGGAATGGAACATGGATGCTCTATTCATTTCCTTTTACTGCTGCATCATATTACCACAAATTTAGTGGCTTACAACAACACAAATTTATTATCTCATGCTTCTGAAGGTCAGAGAACTAAAATGTATCATATGGGCTAAAATCAAGGTGTTTCTAGGGCTGGTTTTTTCTAGAAGCTCTGAAAGTAGAATCCATTCCCTTGCTTTTTTCAGATTTTCAAGGCTGCCAGTGTTCCCTGGCCTGTGACATCTTTCTCACATCCCTCCAGCACCTTGCTTCCATCATCACACCTTCTACTGTCTCTAACTCTACTGCTTCCTTCTTACGTGGGCCCTTGTGATAACGCTGGGCCAGCTGCATATCTCAGATACTCTACTTATCTCAAAATCCTTAAATTAATCACATCTGAAAAGGCCCTGTTGCCATGTAAGATAACACATGTACAGATTTCTGAGAGTAGGACATGGCCACCTTTGAGGTGTCATTATTCAGCTCACCACAAATGCATTGGCCACTGCTATAGGCAATTCATGCCCACAGAACATGCTAAGGAATCATAATGCATCACAGCACCATCCACCTAGGGGAAAAGAGGGAGGCAACATTATCTGGCAGCACCCATCCCCTATTGATCAAGGTTGCCCCCAGGGTGTTAACTCCTCTGTGAATCCAGGAGCCATGTGCATTAGTGCCAGCTGGGGTCCTATGGTAGACCATGATACTGCCTCAGAGAAGCCCCCAAACTGGAAGCACGAGGTTCAAAGTAAGGTACAATCAACATTCACCTCCCAAATTTGGTTAAAGGTGAAACTGCATGGAACTGGATGCTGTAGCAGTAGCTGGAGAAAGAGGCGAAGCCTAAGGAATATGCAGAGATTCTATAGTGTTTAGTTTTCTGTTCTTGTGTTAGTTTGCTGAGAATGATGGTTTTCAGCTTCATAGATGTCCCTGCAAAGGACATGAACTCATCATTTTTTTTTATGGCTGCATAGCATTCCATGGTGTATATGTGCCACATTTTCTTTATCCAGTCTATTACTGATAGGCATTTGGGTTGGTTCCAAGTCTTTGCTATTGTGAACAGTGCCGCAAAGTAGGAGTTGAACAATTAGAACACATGGACACAGGGAGGGGAACATCACACACCAGGGCCTGTTGGGGGCTGGGGAGCTAAGGGAGGGATAGCATTAGGAGAAATACCTAATGTAGATGACAGGGTGATGGGTGCAGCAAACCACCATGGCACGTGTATACCTATGTAACAAACCTGCACGTTCTGCACATGTACTGCAGAACTTAAAGTATAATTTAAAAAAAGAACTTTCAAAGAGAAAAAAATAAATGTAGCATCCATAAATTAAAAAAAAAAAAGAATATGCAGAGATTCGTAGTAGGGGTCCAATTCACTTCCCTACTCTACTCTGAAGCCACGGGCAACTTTAACTAGTTTGTATATCTCTCAGGACTACCATAGGGAACTATGCATTTCTCAAACATGTTTCTCAAATACATTGCTGCCCTCTCTCTCTTACTTTCCCATCCACAAGATATTGAAACTCCCCCTGCAAGTGAGTTATAATAGGAGTAAAGTAAATTTTTAAAACTCTCAAAAATTAGACAAAAGCACCAAGAAAGGCAACTGGCTGGGCTTGGTGGCTCACGCCTGTAATCCCAGCACTTTGGGAGGCTGAGGTGGGCGGATCACGAGGTCAGGAGATCAAGACCATCCTGGCTAATACGGTGAAACCCCGTCTCTACTAAAAATACAAAAAATTAGCCAGGCGCGGTGGTGGGCACCTGCAGTCCCAGCTACTTGGGAGGCTGAGGCAGGAAAATGGCATGAACCCAGGAGGGGGAGCTTGCAATGAGCGGAAATCGCACCACTGCACTCCAGCCTGGGCAACAGAGCGAGACACCATCTCAAAAAAAAAAAAAAAAAAAAAAAAAAAAAAGGCAACTAAAGAGGTTATTCTGCCTATAGCTGCAGGCAATTATTATTGAGAGTTCAAACTTCTTGGAGAGCAAAGGGAAAGCAGCACCAGGGAAGGAGCAGTTGAGTCCTGAGCTGGCATATTTCTCAAATGCAACAAGAGTAGAACCAGGAGGCAGAAAAGATAAGCTACTCAGGTTGTTCATGTTATCAGGACAACCACCCTTTAATGAACAAGCCTCTGGACTTGTTGAAAACCTCAGGACTGAGCTAGTGACTCTTCAACCATTTATCAGGAATGAGAGGAAAGTATCTGTGTGTGGAGACTAGAAGTACAGCAAAGAGCAATGCCCTCGCTCGCTCATAAAAAAAAAAAAAAAAAAGCATGTAAAATAACATGATACTGTCTTGCTTATCAGAGAGGCAAAGACGAAAAGGACATACACACAGTTTGGAGAGGGAATGAAAAAGTGAGCATCCTGACACTTAATTGGTGGGAAAACATAAACTGACAGAAGCTTTTGAAAAGGCAATTGGCCTTAATTATCAAAGTGTGCAGGGTGCAGACTCTGATTCAGAACTCTACTTCTGGGGGAAGGAAATTCTTCTGAAATATGTAAACAAATGAGCAATAGTGTATCAATGCATGTTTATTACAATATTGCCTTGAATAGAAAGAAAAAAATAGAAACAAAGATATTTTAGAAAAAAAAAAGAATGAGTTAGCTCTTTATGTACTGACATGGAAGAGACTCACAATATGTAAAGAAAAATGACATGTTGCAAAACAGTAGGTGCGTTATGATCCAGTTTATATGTTTTAAATATAGCTTTGTGTGTGAGGACTTACATATGATATGACTATCACACCTAATCCTTGACATCACAGCCAAAGTTAAGTTCACACAGAGAAACTATATCACCAGAGCTGCTTCCTTTGTGTGACTTCCTGCTTTGTTTTTATGATAATGGGGAAAAATGGATGATGAGAATGATATGAATATGAGCTCTGTGTTAATGAAAGTATTGACAGTTGTAAGAAAAGAAAATCCATCCTCTTGAAGAAATGTTGTATATAATCAAATACTAATATGCCTAGTGACATTTAGGTTTTGTTGCTGTTCTTGTAAGAGTTACTGAAATCCCTATGGGAAGAAAAAAAAAAAACTTGCTTCAAAGTTCTAAACTCTCTGGCTCAAACCCCTTTTCCTATTAAAGCAGTTTATGATGCAATTTTTAAAAAGCAAGACAAGATTCCCAAAGAATATAATTATTGAGATATAGCAAAAAATTATATATATTCAGAAAAACCCTACAAAGCCTAAAAACTGAAAGCTTCACAGCACATGGAACATGGATGTTACTTTTTTACAAAACCCACAAAAATGAGATAAGAAGAACAAAATCAAGATATAAACCCACAAGGTCCAAGAGAATGTAAGAGCACACAATAGTGCAAAGAGGTGTCAACACAGTTTCAATAGTGCAAAGAGACATTAATACACTTTTCCTTACCGAAAATTGGTAACGAACTGAAAAAGCTGAACACCAAGTGTGGGGATGAGAAGGCAAATACAAAGCAAGTCTCTTGTTTCCATGAAACCTAGAAACACTTAGCCACTAGAGGTACCAGCTACCTCCAAAAGGTGGACAGGGGACTGCAAACAGGAGTGTCTAAAATCCTGTAAGAGGGAGTTAGACCTCCGCATCCTCTTCCCCATCTCATGCATCCAGACAACTACCCTTCCCTGCCCCCCAGCAAGAGATGAGACATTTATTCTGTGAGGGGGGTAGGGGGTAGGAAACGCAGTCAAAAAGACTTCAGGTCAACCCTTCTCAACGAGTGTTCAGGAGAAAATTTATCCCTAACACCCTAAAGCATTCATTGAATACAATACATCAATTTCTCTTGTAGGCTTCTAAAACAGTACCAACTATGTACCATTCTTGAGTGAACTGAAGAAATAAAATAGGTTTTCAAATAATTTTCTGTAGGGCTTCAAACCCTCATAAAAGTTGGGTTGAAAAAGCCCTCTCTAGATGCTGACATCAGGCATAGAGGAGGGCCGGTTGGAAGGGGAGGGGATGAGAAGGAGAAAGGTACAACACTGAAAGTCTCTATACTTAATGGACTCCTAGCCTCTTGCGTGGCTCTGCCCCCAGAATAGTGTTGACCAAGTATATTATCTTCCTTTCTACCCAGGGCCCTGCCAGGAGATTAAAAGAGTCTTCCTTGAACAAACTGAAGTGCCTCAGAAGAAAAGACCAATATGTAAGGTCTTCTGTGGGGGCCTGAGAAAATATCTGTACCCCACTTAATTTCTCTGTGTGGCCTATACACCCTCTCCTCCACCCATTCACACAGACCTTCCATCATCTTTAGATTGCCTCACTTTTAATTAAACAGATCAACAGATAGTTGAAGAAACTACCTTAAAACTTGAAAATCAGAGAACAAAGCACACAAACAGATGAAGAAATTGTCTTTGAGAACTGGAACTCAGGAGTAGAGAGGAGTGGAGCAAAGAAACCCTCTTTTCATTTATAAGTCTTGTTGAATTATTTAACTTTTGAATCTATGTACATGTATTTTTGTGATCATTATATGTATATTTTTAAAGAAAGAATGTTTCAGGAATAGACATTCAACTATACAGAATTCTGGGCAGTGACTTTTTTGCATATTTGATATGTTTCTGTTATGCTTAAATTTTCACAGTAATTGTATGTTTTAAATTTTTTAAACAAAATGCAAGTATTTAAAAACAAAAAGATAAAAGAAAAAATGAGTAATGCATTCAGGCATAGACAGGGCTGCCTGAGCACACAGAATGGCAGGGTTGAGGGATAACCCTAGCTCCTTAGTTTCTTCCAGTTATTGAAAGGGACACTCAAGTAAGTGATTTTAAAATAACCCTTAAGTCTGAAGTAGCAGCATCAGTGAGAATCTAACAAGAACAGCCATAGCACAGACTTGCAGAGTTTGCAAAGCAGGTGTCACACTCTTGCAAGCCACTAAGGGGTACGGCGCTAAGGATTGGGTGGCACAACTAAATAATAGCGATCTTTGCAATTCCTACTGATCTGAGCTCAGAAGTACATTGCTGCCTTCTCTCTTACTTTCCCATCCACAATTGGGTGGCAAAACTAAATAATAGCGATCTTTGCAACTCCTACTGATCTGAGCTCAGAAGTACATTGCTGCCTTCTCTCTTACTTTCCCATCCACAAGATATTGAAACTCCCCCTGCAAGGGAGTTATAATAGGAGTAAAATATTCCCTGAAAGGAGAATAGCAAAAACTTGAGACTAGTGCCTGTATCTTTGTAATCCTGGGGAAACTTGCCACTATCCCAGTAGGAATCAGGAGAAATCCAAGAGATTAAAAAGGCAGAGGAAAAGCTTGAGACCTTCTAATGACAGAACCAGAGCCTTCTCCAGGGGAACCAGAATTTAGCTCCAAGACTGAGAAAACAAAGTTGATTAAAGAGCATTGTACTATAGAATGCCCCCTTGCAACTGATTTTGCCCCGCAAAGCAGCATCCCACCATTTTGAGAATACTTGTTCAAGTGACTTTGGCTTCTCTGAGGGAAAAAAGAAAACAAAAAAATAACATTTTTTCCACTAAGATGGTTAAAGACATGAAATTTAAATTCCAGACTTGTACCCACTGTAGTCAGCAGAAAGCTCTGCCAATACAGACAGCTTATTTGGGAAATATCCACAGCAGCAAAGTCCTAGAGCAAATATGTGTCGATTTCTTGTCCTTGAAATTAGAGAGAAGGAGACTTGAGACATAGTGTGATGATCCATCATGGCACTCAATGTGCACAAGTCAACCAGCCATACCAAGGGTTCGAAAAACATCTGAAACCCCCTAGTGCTATGGGAGAAATCACTTTCCATGCATGGGTTTTCTATTCAAATTCACTAAGATGAAAAAAAATAGTGGCTCCTATAAGAAATTTTCGCTAAAGCTGGTTACAAAAGTCTGAGACCAGTCCCAAGAAGTCCCCCAATCTGAAAAATTTGACAAATATAACTGACCTTGTTGGTGACAGTGCAACCTAAGCCACTGGATGGCTGATACCAGAATCCATCCTGATCCAGCCATATCAGTTACCTATTGCCACAATACTGCTACATAAATACAACCACAAAATCTCAGTGGCTTATATTAATAAACATTTATTTTGCTCACAAGTTGACCGTACACCTGGTTAATCCCGATGCTCTGGGACTTAACTGATCTTGGTTGGATTCATGCATGAATCAGCAGTTAGCTAGAAGTTCAGCTGGGGGCTGGTGGGTCTAGTACAGCCTCAGTATTCAGTTGGGATATTTCCTGTCTGATTCATGTACTCAATCCAGCAGGCTAGCTCGGCCTTTTTCTTGTGAAGGAGGCTGGGATCTAAGAGAATGAATGAGGGCTCTTGGGACCCAGGCTCAAAATGGGCATATCTTCTTATCTGCTGCCTTTTATTGGCCAAAGCAAATTACAGGCCAGCCCAGATTCCAGAGAGGGGAAAGAGACTCCACCTTTTTATAGGAAGCACTAATACTTTGCATTGCAAGCAGCATGTTTACAAGGAGGGATGATCAATGCAGACCATTAGGGCAATCAACCTTCCACACCAGCATCTTGATTTCAGAGAATTAGTTCTGTGAGTAAACCAAAAGAACTTGGTTAAAGACAATGTGGTATTCTGGAAGAAAAAAAGATTATTAGTGAGAAAACCACAGATATCTGAATCAAGCCTATAGTTTAGTTAATATTAATATTAATTCATTTGTTTTGACAAATTCACCAGGGTTATATAAGATGTTAACACAAGGAGGAGCTGGCTGAAGGATGTATGGGAAGTCTGTACTCTCTTTATAACTTTTCTGTGAAGCTAAAATTAATTCAGCATAAGACGTTTATTTTTTAAAGAACATGATAAAAAGGAATTCGCAGTATAGGCCATTTGGGTGGCAGTGCCCTTGACTGTGTGCACCACTGAGTCATGGAGGATCCTCCATCCTCTATTCAGAAACCCCTGTGGCCTGGGAAAATTTGGCAGCATGTGGGGCACTGAAAAGCTCAGCAGATGGCTTGGCCAGGGCCACCTCTCTGCAGACCTCCAAGAAAACAGCAACGCTGAAGGCTAGGGGCTGTGCCAGCATCCTTTCTCAGTGTGACGAAAAGGGTGTTGACCCGGCTGGCTCTGGTGGTTAGGGGAGATGCCACATGGCCACATGGCTGCAGTGCTTGGGAAATTCTCTTTTTTTCCTTTATGAAGGGAGCGAAATCCAGACTTAGCCGTGTCCATCTGACTTTCTGAGACTGACAAATTGTGATCTTCACCATGTAGCAGCTCTGAGTCTGATGTGGAAACTAAATCAGGCACATAAACACATAATTACAGTACAGTGTGATAGAGTCTGTATAGTGAACATATGTTTCTTGTCTGTTCCACTGTCTTCCTTCAGAAAAGCCCAACCTCCTTCTACCTTTGCCTCTGGTTCCCAGAGGTAGATAGGCACAAGACATATGACCCAGACCTGGCTGTTCAGAAGAGCTCATCCCTCTGGCCACTGCAATTGATCAGGGAGATTAGCCCCAAACTGAGCACCAATCAGACCTTCTTCATCATATTTGATATAAAGTTTCTGGGAAAAGAAGGGTCTTTCTTTCTCTAGTACCAGAAAGAGTTATAAAAATAGAGACTTTCTGAAGCTAAAGACCACCAGAGGGAAGAGCCAAGATATGGAGAGAGAAAGGCTTCATAATGCAGTTTAAACCCCTAGATGCAGCCAAGCCTGATGCCAGAGATACCCCTTAGACTTCCGTATTTCCAGCCATAATCTAGCTTGAGCTGGGTTTCTCTCATTTGCACCCAAAACAATCCTGCCAAATGCAGAGATGGGTACCTGGAAGTGGGGTGTTGGAATTGACAGGCATTAAAATGAAAGGAAAGACAGACAACAGGTGGGACCCTGGGCGGTCAACACTGCCCCTCTTTACCTGGGATGTTAGTGGTGCCTCTTAAGTGGTAGCAAAGCAGCAGGGAAGGTTTTTCCTTGCTGTTCCTGGGACTCAACAAATTCACTTCTGTGTCTCTCCAGATATGTTGTGACAAAGTTAAAATGGGCCGACCATATTTTGCAGCCTTTATTATCCTAGAAGCTTCAGACCAAGCTGTCCCTCTACAACAGAGGGAAGGGCCTATGTAGCCTCACCAAAGAGATCATTTCTTCCTCCAGCAATCCTTGAGAAGACACAAAGTATGAGTTTTCTGTTTTGAAAGGAGATAATACTGAATTGCAGGAAAAGCAGGAACACTGGGGGAAACCTAATTTCCTAGGCCCTTACCAAAAACTTCTGGCTATGTACTCCCCGCCTTAAAAGACAAGCTCATTTTAAAGAGACAGCCCCCCTCATTACGCCAGCCCATGGTTCTAAGTGCAGGGACCAAGGGGCAAGAAGGTAAAGACATTATTCAGAGACAGAAACTCCAAAACCAGGTTGGATTTAAGGAACATGCCATAGTAGATCCCTGTTCTAATTGACTAGCCTGTTGAATTTCTAAATATCGAATAGTCTGGCCTCCCTCTGAGATTCTAAAGGTTATTTCTAGAGACTCCTCAAACCCTGCAAACAGGCTTGTCATAGATTGTTCAACTTCTAAAGTAATCTCCAGACCCCAAAGCCTGCACCAAAAGAAAATGGGATACTGCTCCCCAGCAGCTCTTCCTGAACTTAGGTAAATTCACGGGGAAGATTGCCATGGCCTCATTTTAGCCTGCCTCTGGCCCCAGCCCCAGTGCTGCATTCTCAGCAGTGAATCAGGCACTGCATTTTCATTCCCATCTGACTTATGTGTCCAATTCAGAATTGATCCACAATGTGCAAAAGAAGAAAAGTGAGTAATTAAGCTCTGCTCCAAACCCCAGCACTGAGGAGTTGGTATTTTATCCTGCAGGCCTTAAGGAACAGTGAGGGCTTATCACCAGTTTTAAGCAGGTTTAATGCAGATAAGACTTGTGGTGTGTTTTGTAAAGGTAATGGCGGCAGCAATGGTAGATTGGTAGGGAAAGGGTAGGACTGAAAATGAACCTAAAATTAGTAAGCAACAGCAATTTAAAAAATAACTAATATAGGTTTGAACTAACAGAGTTGCAATGACTATGGCATAGCATTAAGGGATACCAGAGAGTATGCAGACAATGGAAGAGGTTGCCAATATCAGAAATACAGCAAGAGGAACTCCTCCTATAAGATAGCACGAAGATTAAACTATGTAGACTGTAAATGGATGCAAGTCCCTTGTTTTGTTTTTGTTGGAGGGACGGAAGAAGCAGACAGCTGGAATTCTGTCTGAAACAGAAAGAAAGATTTTTAAGTATTAAATACTTGTTTATTTTTCACTTGAAAAGGATTTGTACTGAAAATTGTCAAGATGTATAGGTGCTCTTAAGGGATTTGGGCAACACATACACAAAAGAATGCCTTGGTTACCTACTGATATGCAGCCCATGGGCCCTTACACCTTAGCACGTGTTTGGGAGCCTCTAGGTCCACTGCACAAGGTTTTAGGCTAGAAAATGAGGCTAATTACATTCTTTCTGAGTTCCTTTTCACCTGGATGAGAGCATAGTGTGAAGTGATTCTAAAGGACTTAAGAGACAATATAAACAGATCAGAAAAACTGAAATCAAAATATATTTTAATAATTTATAAAAGCTAGAAGCGATGATTACTTGCCCAACGGAGTTGGCATCAGCCTTAGTCCTTCAACATCCCTTCCCTCACTAAGATTCTATGAAATACTGTGTTCCTCTAAATGCTATACCTTTCCTTCTTTGCCACCGCTTCACATTAATCCCTAAATAGTGTTCAATAAATGCCCATTGGTCTCTCAGGCAAATGTTGATTCAATGTGGCAATTGTAGTCCATCTATCACATAGTGTCTATGCAAGGATTGAATGAAATTTTGCAGGTTAAGAGCTTAGCTTAGTTCCTGGCATATAATAAGCACTCGCAGATGATGGCTATCTTCAACTACATATAGCATTGAAAATTGTAATTTTAGCTACAAAATAAGTTGGCAAAATGACACTTTTATTATTGTAAGTATCTGGTAACCCACCCATTTTCACTCCAGTTTCTACTTCTTTGTGCTTTGATTGCCCAAAATTAAGTATTAAAATTAAATTTATCAAAGAATTTGAAGACTTAGATGCTTACATTTTAAAAAATACCATAATGATAATCAAAATCCCACCCAAGCATTCTTTGGCTAAGTCCGAGATTGTTATTCACTAGCACAGTTATGCTCCTAATCCTTTGCAAAGAGCAAAACTTCTTTCTCATAATCAGGGCTAAGGCTTAAAGTTCTTTCCCAGAACTGCCTTGAAGTTCTTTCTTCAACTTGGCCAGCTGCACTTGAATGCGAGATTTCCGCCCTAGAAAGAATGTAGTTATGTCCAAGTGGGATGAGTCATTGAATTCTAAGCACAAAATATTTTATCTGTTTAAGAGGAGCAGTGGAGAGTTCCTTTTTTATGGTGAAACAGTGCTTGAAGCAGGCCAGGACGAAAGCCATCCCATCTCATCCCATTTCCTCTTTTCCATGCCTTGCAACTGTGAAAGGGAGGGAAGAATTGACAAGAAACTATTTGAACTCTGGCCATAGGCCACTTGGCTTTGTAGATTTACCAAGTAATCTTGGCAAATAAGAAAAAGTCCTTGAGTAATAGTATGGAACATTAAGCCCCTCAGGGATGCTCATTAAATGCTTGCTGGCTGTGTGTAGAAGTCTTAAGCCCCATCAAGTCATGCTGCCCTATTGATAACCCTAGACTACATCACACCTCCACTTTCTTTAGACTCTGTATAGGAAGTTATGACACTATTTTTGAAATTTGCAACAGTTTATTAGCACTCCAGCATTAACTATATGAAGATGAGTTTTCACTGAGTAGTTTGTTGAGAGAAGGACATTTTCAGATGGACATATGAATACGTGAATCACTCAGGTTTTCTTTTTGAAATAACATTGCTGAGAATGAGCCCATTTCATCTTGTCAATGCTCTTCTTCATATTTAATCATTGCATTTACCTTCAGAAAGGTAAAGGAGATAATATTAATTCCAGTTGATACAATCATGTAACAGGCATTTAAGGAACACCTACTATATGCAAGCTACTCTACTAGGTACTCCAGGGAATACGAAGCTGAGTAACACTCAGTCCCTGCTGTCCAGTGGCTTTTAATAGCAGAGGAAAGACAAAACAAAAGCACATATAACTACAATACAAAGTGGACTAAGAAAAGATTTTGATTGTTATGTACAAACTGATGGGAAAGCATCAAAGGATTGTTGTATGCAGGAGAGTGACATGATTATAACTGCATTTTAGAAAAATCACCCTGGCCAGGCATAGTGGCTCACACCTGTGATTTCAGCACTTTGGGAGGCCGAGGAGGACAGATCACTTGAGTTCAGGAGTTCGAGACCAGCCTGGCCAACATGGTGAAACTCCATCTCTACCAAAAATACAAAATTTAGCCAGTTGTGATGGTGTGTGCCTGTAGTCCCAGCTGCTGGGGAGGCTGAGGCAAGAGAGTCACTAGAACCTGGAAGACAGAGGTTGCAGTGAGCTGAGATTGCACCACTGTACTCCAGTCTGGGTGACAGAGCTAGACTCCATTCTCAAAAAAACAAAAAAGAAAAATCACCCTGCCAGAAGGATGATGGGATAGATTGAAAGGGAGCAAGCAAGGCAAACAGCATTAGGAAGTTTGAAGTCCCATGATCTTCAAGCTGGAGGCCCAGGAAAGCCAGTAGGTAAGTTCTAGTCCAAGGACAGGAGAAGACCTATGTCCTACCTCAAGCAGTCAAACAGAGAGGGGGTATTCAACCTTCTCCCTTTTGTGTCCTATTTGGATCTCAATGGATTAAACAATGCCCACCTACACTGAAGAGGGACATCTGTTTTATTCAACCCACTAATTCAAATGCTAATGTATTATGGAAACATGCTCACATACACACCCAAAAATAATGTTTAACCACATATCTGGGCATCCCATGGCCTAATCAAGCTGACACATAAAATTAACCATCACAGGAAGCTACTGTAATAATAGAGGTAAGATATGAAAGAGGCCTAACCTAAGGTAAAGAATACAGAGGAAATGCAGGAAATGTATTAAAAGATTTCAGTGAGGGAAAATGAATAGGCCTGGGTGGCAAATGATTGACTGATGTGTGGCAAATGATTGATTGATGGGTAGCAAGTGACTGATGAGGGATGCTGAAGGAATATGAGATAGAGCCAAGACCTCTACCTTTGGCAGCAGGGTGGGCTCACTGCAGGAGAGCATGGCAGAGATGCAGAAAGGCATCTGGGTGAGGCCGATAGGAGCACTAGAAGTGCTCAGGGAACAAGGACAGCACTCTGATGGAGAGTGGGGTATACATAGTAGGAGGATGGCAGAGGAGGTTGGAAGAGGAAGCTGAGCACCTGCAATGGTCAAGTTTTGGAGTTAACTTAACCCGATTAAGGGATACCTAGTTAGCTGGTAAAGCATTGCTTCTGAGGGTGTCTGTGAGGGTGTTTCTGAAGGAGATTGGCATGTGAGTCTGTGAACCGAGTGGGTAAGATCCCCCCTCAATGTAGGCGGGCACCATCTGATTAGTTAGGGGTCCAAGTGGAACAAAAAAATGGAGGAGGGGCAAATATTTTCTTTCTCCTGCAGATCCAGGATGTCCCTCTCCTGCCCTTGGGCATCAGAACTCCACATTCTCTGGCTTTTCGACTCCAGGATTCACACAGGTGACCCTGGGTACTCAAGCCTTCAGCCTCAAACTGAGAATTATACCATCAGCATCCCTGGTTATGAGGTTTTAGGCTGAGCCACACTATCTACCTCCCTGGTTCTCCAGCTTGCAGAGGGCCTGTGTTGGTACTTCTCAGCCTTCATAATGATGTGAACCAATTCCCCCAGTAAATCCCTTCTCACATGTATATATGTATAGGTTCTATCTCTCTGGAAAACTCTGACTATTACAGCACTTTGAATGCCAAGCACAGAGGTTAGACTTTAATTCAGTGAGCAATGGAGAGGCTTTTAAGCCATAGAACAATGTGATTGAAGCTGTTCTTTTGGAAAATTAATCTGATCAATGAAGAGGCCTAGATTCCAAAAGGTTAATTGCTAAGACACCTAGTTAGTGCAGAGATGGGACTAAAATGGAAGTCTTCAGACTCCTGGCCTATTTTGTGCAATGAGGAAGAACATTGCCTACTTCATAGAATTCTAAATATGTATTCCTCTCTCCAATAAGTCTTCCTCCCTTACTGAATTCCACAGCCTTCATGCTTATATTGGGCCAGACATTTAGCACACAAAGAGAATGGATGGATGCTTCCAGTATTTTTTTATTAATGCCCAAAGAGCCCAATTCTATGTTGTTCCAATCATAATGTTCAAAAAATACCTGCTAAATGTAGATAAAGGCAATGGTTTTGTAAGACTCCTTCAAAGGTGGAATCTACTAGGAGTAAAATAAAAATAAAATTTAAAATTACTTAAAAATAATAAATTGGCTTACAAATACAAATTAGCATTATTAAGACAACAATATTAAGAATTATATTTTACTGAAGTTTTTTTCTGTGATAAGAGTTATTTCATACATGAGTTTATTTTGTCTTCATAAATACCTATTTGATATATGAGAAAACTGAGTCTTAGAAAGGTTAAGTAACTTACTCAATACCACACAGTAAATGGTAGAGTTAGGATTTAACCCCAAATCCAACTCCAGAATCCCAGCCCTTAAGAAGTCTGCTATTCTGCCCTTCAGAATGATTTTCTTGAGAAGGTTCAAAAGAAGCTAAGGCGAAAGCAGCAAATTTTATTTTTTATAAAGGCAATAAACAGTGATTTTCTTGCAGCTGTGTAGGCCATTATAGCAAACAGTTGTCTTTTACTCAGCGCCCCAGAGAGAACCTACCAACTCAAATTGCAACTCCCAATTGCAACTGAACTATCTGGGAAGAACAACAAGTTCCTAACACACCGGAAATAAAGACTGGGGAAGAGTACAGAATGAGAGGAGAGGGAACTGCCATTAACCTCACTTATTTTAAATAGCACTTAGATGAACAAAAACAATCAGGAAATTAAAATAAACCCAATTCTAATCTGTATGTGTGCTTTGTGCATTTGCATGCTTATGTGTATGTATGTACTCACAAAGAATGCGAGGGAAATACTGGAAAACCAAACAACTAAATTCAACAAAAAGCAGTGGCCTTACCTGTTAACTTCTGAGCTATTTTTGTGACATGAAATGCTGCATTTTGGCACTTTTTGTTTCGTGAAGGCCCTTGGGTAGATTTTTTATGAATGTCATTATTCGCCAAAGTGAATTTAGTAGAGAAAACCCCAAGGGAGCAAGATGATGAGTTTTTTAAACAAACATTTTGTAATATAATTTTACATTAACATCTCTCTTTATCGTGTCTATTCATGACCAGACAGTGAATTTTAAATCAGCTCCTTTTGTAATCCATCTCGAGAAGAATGAAGATGGAACTTGATGAAAGGAAAGGCCCACAGGGGAGGAATTCCAATGCTGGGCTAAGCATTTATGTGAGTGGAGAAAGAACTATGTGAAAGAAGAACCGTTAAAAAAAAAAAAAAAACATGATTGAAGCAATATGTGGAGAAGGGAATGAGAAAGAGGCAATTTGACAAAAGAAAATAAAAATGACGTGATTAGAGCATGTGAAAATTAATTTTTTTCTAGTACTGATTCTTCAATTTTTTCCAACATATTGACCTATATTCTCAATTTCACAGTATTATCTAGATTATATCACAGTGTTGGACTATTGTGATATCAAATGCGGTAGCTATTCAGTGATGCAATTGGTTGCAAAGCAATTAATTACATATGACAACTCCAAAATAAATTAGTGTTCATTCAGAGTAAGAGTGGAGGCTGAAGTAAAGGATAAGAATGAAAGAAAAAGGATAAGGAACAGGGGAAAGGAACCACTCATAAACACAAGAAATGGTTTCTTATTCAACAAGGTGTCTGTTTAAATTTTATGTCTAAGTTGCTAAAAGCAGAAAAAAAACTGAAATAGTTTAAGAAGGAAGAAGTAGTGAATCTCAAAGATGTTGTTGCTGTAGGTATTTAGAACTAAGAAGTTACACAGTATAATATACCATGAAAGTAAATGTATTTAATAAGAGAAGAAATGGAAAATACCAAATAAAGCAACGTAATAATTTCAATAATGCACTGACTCTTAAAATGTTGTAAGTCTACATGAAGACTTGAGGGCAGCTGGTTCCAGAATATCCAAACCTGAAACAAAATTATTTATTGACATGACAGAATTATCTGAGATCATATGAACATTGTTTATCATATATTTTATAAGTGAGACAAAGGTCTTTAACAGAAAAATGAATTTTTAGACTCAGTAAGTCAAACAAGTTGTTGAAGAAAATAAAAAAGGCATAGGTCTAGGATAACCAACAATATTACCAGAAATCATTTATAATAACTCTCATTTCCTGATTTTTCTAGAAATAGTAGTTTTACACTAGAAAACTTGTAAGGATTTACCTCAAACAATTGTGTAAAAATCCGCATTTCTCCAGATAGTAGTGATTTCAAACCAAGCAAAACTTATTCCCGTTTAACTTTTTTTTTACCAGGCTCAGAAAAGGAGATGCTATGATCCATCTTGAAAACGCCCATGAGTCAATTCTAAACAACCTTGAAAGATTATCTTTCAGACTCTAACAGGAGACCAACATAAATAAAATTATCCACTTTTAGAAAAAGACATTTTTTTCTAAATATTATTGTCTTTTGAAATTATATTAACATGCTGCATTCTTCTTCTGATTAAAAAATACATATTAAATTACAATGTAGCCTATTTTGCTGAAACCAGAAATTGTTTAGATCAAGTAAAGAGACCAGCTGGTCCAAAGAGGAGCCTGTGAGAGACCCAGACAAGCATCACCCTGGCTCCAAGGAGACATCAAATCAGATAGCAGCAACGAAGTGACTGTCCTGCCTGGTGAATCACCATAGCTCATCTGTGTCTGGAAATGGCAATGCAAGAGTAACTTACACTCACTTGCATTATTGATAGCTGGATCTTCAGACCTAGACTTGGAAAAGGCTTTCCACTACTGTATTAATGGATTCTTGCACTGCTATAAAGAAGTACCTGAGATTAGGTAATTTATATATAATATATATATATATATTTTTAACTTGTGGTAAGAGCCATCTACTCAAATCTAAGAGTTAGTGAGTTTTAATGTTTCTTTTTTTTTTTTTTTGTTTTTTTATTATACTTTAAGTTCTAGGGTACATGTGCACAATGTGCAGGTTTGTTACATATGTATACATGTGCCATGTTGGTGTGCTGCACCCATTAACTCGTCATTTACGTTAGGTATGTCTCCTGATGCTATCCCTCTCCCTCCCCCAACCCCATTTATATTTTTTTTAAAAAAGAGGTTTAATTGGCTTATGGTTATGCAGGCTGTATAAGCATAGTGGCATCTGCTTCTGGGAAGGCCTCAGGAAGCTTCCAATCATGGCAGAAGGAGAAAGCAGAGCAGGGAAATCACACGACAAAAGCAGGAGCAAGAAAGAGAGAACATGGCAGGAAGGTGCTACACACTTTTAAATGACCACATCTCATGAGAACTCACTCACTATCACAACAACAGCAGCAAGAAGCTGGTGCTAAACCATTCATGAGAAATGCATCACCATGATCCAAGCACCTCCCACCAGGCTTCACCTCCAACAGTGGGGATTACAATTCAACATGAGATCTGGGCAGGGAAAAATACACAAACTGGACAACAACTGAGCTTCTCTGTAAGAGAGAAGATGAAAGACTAAGAGAAGTCTCCCTCCCTTCTTAATGCGCCTAAAGACTGCAGCGTGGAAGTCATGGAAAAGACAAGAGTTTGTACCCAGTAGAAGTCACAGCCAGTAACAGCAGTGTCCCCTTCGGAATCCTTCACATCTCCTTTTGCACTCTGCCTCCTTTAAAGTTCTACCCCAGATCTCCCCACCGACAATTAATACATAATTACTGTGTATCTACTACGTGCCTGGGAATAGGCTGTCACTGAATATAGTATAAAAGCATTTTTGCTCAGCTTGCCACATAAAAACTCACCAAAAAAATCTAAAACTGTACAGATAGAACGTCTCCTACTTCAGTGAAATACAGAAACTGTCACAACCACAAGCCGCACACTATAAGGCCAACCTAGGAGGTACTGTGCGAGGATTGATTTAAGAAGCCTACCTAGGGGCCAGCTCCTCAGACCCTAGGCAGAATGAAGACATCTCCTACAATAAGGGAGCCAGTAATCTTTGAACTGAAACCTTGAATTCTTGTCGTGAGGACGATCATGGGAGAGGCAGAAAATGTTCTTGAACAGTCACAATGCAACATCACAAAACCAAGGAGAGCAGAGTGAGCTATAGGAGAAAGCAGGACATCTTATCTTTTCTTGGGATGATCCAGCCTCTTATCTAAGGGAAAAAGCCAGGGGAAGAACTGAGTGGAGGGAGGAAATGAAACAGCGGTGAGCAGAGAACAACAAGCCTGTGATCCCAATGGCTTTGCTGTTAGCTATGCTATCTTCTGGTTCCTGAAAAGCAAAGGGATATTGTTCCCCCAGGCAAAAGGAGGATAGATTTGATGAAGGGAGAAAGTTCTCAAGACAAGAAACTCTAAGGAGGCCAATGGATATATATGGCTCATTCACCACTACTACCACCTCCATGTTGGCATCACCCCAGCACTACCTCTACACACACACGCATACACACACGCGCATACACACACACACATACACACACACATATACAGACACACCAGTGACAGAAGTAAGGTCAGGCAAGAAAGAAGCCTAGGGAAATCCTAAAAGTGAGTTGCCTCCTTAAATTCTGCACCCCAGGAGCCTTGTTTTTGCTTCACCTTAATCTCTCTCTGTCCTGACATACACAAACATTCCTATTTGTCAATAAACAATGGGTCCCATTCAAAAATGACGAATTCATATAGGAAAGGGAAAAGATGAAGATAAGAGACAAATAGCTCTCCCTGGTCTCGTAGAAAAAAACAGGTAAAATTAGACTACCAAATATTGGGCCTGGACCAACCTCTTACACCAAGGAGTTGAGGTCATCCCCACTCAAACTTTTCAGACTAAAACTTGCAGGGGGAGAAGGAAACTCCCTAAAGAGATACTAGGAAAACAAATGACAACCTTGGTTTTCATAACTTTAGTTAACTGTTAGTATTATGAAAGAAGTACTTCTCCAGGTATTGACTGCCATAGAGCAAATAAAATACACTTCATATTTTTTGAGTTTAGAGAGGATAGTAACTGAAATTAAAATCTGAAGTTGAAGTTGCCTTAGCTAATAGCAACTAAATTTACTGAGCAGCTACTATGTGCAAGGTAATATGTGATACTTGTACCATCTCAGATATCTTCATTAAAATCCTATAAGATAGGCATCATTTTTTTATTTTGAAAAGAGAGAATTGAGGCCCTAGGTAGTTATTTAATGTCATGCCAGCCACCTACTGACTCCAATAGGGATAGCACTGTGTCTGAGAAGCCAAAGAAGAGACTTGGTGACAGGGAATGATATACAGAGTTTATTGGGGGCACTTACACACAGGGATAGTACAGTGGCAGCAGGCTGGATGAGAGAACCACTACCATTTGTAAAAACCATACAATTTATATAGCATTTTCACATAGCAACCTCCACCTAGCAACCTCCATTTAACCCAAAACAAGGGCCTCCCAATCCCCTGTATGACCTATATTCCAAAGAATGGGCAAGGGGTTCAATTGTCCTTCATAGATAAGATCAATGTCTGGATTGGCCACTCCCAGATTCCTTAGCTCAGAATTCTGAACCAACGCTCTGCTTAGACCATAGGGTCGTCCTCATGGTATCCTTCAGTTACAGCTGTCAGGTGCCTCTGCCATACATTTTATTGGACAATTTCATACAACTAAAAAATAGTGGCACTGAAATTTGAATTCAGGTCACAAATTCTTAATAATTAAAAGATTAAGGATTCAGGGTAGGGTTTGGAGCCCATATCCTGTCTGTCTTTTGGAAAGTAAGAAACCTACAAGGTCCTAAAAAATGGCACAAACACCCAAATGAAAACCTAAATGGAGATTAGCATCACCCTCCTTAGAGGCTGGCAAGTGGAGCCAGAGGAGAATCTTTTGCAAACATGTGGGAGAACTAAACTGAAGTCTGAAGGTCACTGGGGTTTCCTCTCCTTCTCTGAATCAAGACTTTGGAGTCTACCCTAGAGTGAGGTTAGATAAACAACTCAGAACCTTGACTAGCTGCTGGGCGCAGGGTCATGGGTCAGCCTCACACAATCAGACACTGATGCAATGGCAAGAGCAAGAGAAAAATGGCTCTCTTTCCTTCTAGAAATCTTCTGCAGACCCATTTCCAGGCCCATGCTTACCTCACAGGAAAACAGAAGTGAAGAAAGCCCTGACTCTCTTACCAACATATGTCACAGATAGGAGAAAGGGGCCATGCCACAAAATACAGGGACCCTGATCCCACAGACCAGTCTACTCAGGACCAGTAGGCTTCCCAACAATCATATTAGCTACTTTCTTTCACTTGGAGCATCCTTAGTAAGGAGTAGAGAGAAGCCAGAAGTTCCCTTCATAAGCCTTCCCCCATAGGGAACAAGTGTTGGAAGGCAGAAGTGTGGGCACACATTTGTTCCTTTTTCTACAAGCTAAAGCAGGAGCATGTAGCTGGCAGGAGAAAGTTTCTCTCCTGCACTGGGAAGAAAGCATGTGAGTTGGCAGGTTCAGAGCCCCCTGAGATGGGGGATGGGAAGACCCTGTTGGTGGCCCGCCATATCCCCTCCACCCATGCAGAAAGTAACTATGTACTATTCTTGTTTAAATGCCTTTCTATATCTCTTCACCTGTGTAGGCAATCTCTGACAGTGGGAAAGGGTTGGCAGGCTAGAAATTGCCCCAGAAGGAACCCTCAGTTAATGAAGGGTAGGAATTGGTGGATAAACACAGAGCAATAGGAGGGTTCTGAAATGTGTTCCATAGTCTTTCAGAAGGTCCCTAGAAGGATGAAGCTCCAATTGCTCACAGCAGTAGCCCACTCGTTATCACACTTTGTAGTGTTTTTTTTCCCTTCTTGTTTCTCTTCTGCCACAGTCTTGCAGTGCTTCCTGGGATCACATCCCAAAGAAACTGCTTGTACGCAAACCCTTGACACAAGTTCATTTTTGGGTGGAGGTCACCATGAGAAATGACCTTCCAGGAGGGAGATATCACTTCCACACTGCTACCCCAAGCCTTCTTCATTACAAGTGAGAGAGCTGCTTAACCTGAGTCAATAGAAGGTCAAGCAAGTCGTTACACTGTCTGGCTGCAGGGCTTAACCAAGTTTCAATGGGCGTTGTCACCAGGTACCACAGGTGAAGCTTTAGGATGAGGTGGCATTATGGCTTGAAGGTCTCCAGCCTTCTACCACCTTAGTAAGAGGAGAAGTATCCAGGTAGTGGCAATGGTAGGAAGTCTAGTGTTTCAATATACTCTCATGAAAAAGAGAAGTGACAAATTCTCAAAAGAAATCTTATGGACTTGAAAGGCAAGTTGTAGAAACTTTATGTTTCATCCAAGCCCAGATAGTCAATGAATAAGTTCAGAAACTTATAGTCCATATTTTTTTTCTAAATAATAGGATCACAGTTTTCTACTTGGCATAACAATAATACTTAATTTCAGGGTTGTGACAAATAAATGAGATTGCAGTCTTAGCCCAGTGCCTGACACAATGTTAGCATTCAACAAGTGAAACTTCTCTTTCCACTTCCATAAATGTGAGTATCCTTCCACCTCCCCAAGAAACTGGGATTTATGTTGGTCTGCAACTCAGCCTGAATATATTATTCACAGATGTTTTATTATTGTCACTATCAGTTTTTAAGGACCACCTCTAGGTTCTTGTGTTTCAAATAAAATTTTGTTGAAATGAAAACCAAAATAAGTCCTGTCGTTTTTTTAAAGACTTCTTAAGCTTTCTGATTTCTAGTAACATGAAATTCTAGGTAAAAAGCTATCTTTAACCAATTTTTAAAAATCAAGTCTACTGTGATTGATCCAGCTGTTTCCTCAGTTGAAACAAGGAACATCAGAAGTGCCTACTTCTAGAGCTTGGAGAGTAGGGGTAAGCCAGATAATGCATCTTTCACCAAAGGAAAGCTCCACTTCACAGAGAAGACTAGGCACAGCAAGAAGAGGTGCTGACTTCTATTTTACATGAGATATAATTATTTCCATTGCTTCTCCTCTTATTTAGTGAAGACAGACTTGTGTTCCTATAAGTCAATCTCATTTGCTAAGTCTAGTTCTTTGCTTTGTTAGCATCCAAAGAACATTTATTTTTCCTTTCCTATTTACATGTTTCAAATTCCCATCCTGCAATGATTTCTCCCCTCTCTGCACATTCATGTATTTCTCACACTGTTTCTCTCTCTCCCAAGACCATTCTGCCCTTTCTTTTCTTCCTATTAGCTTGCTACACCAAAGCCATTACAGGAACAGGCTGTCTCTATAATGCCTTACTGAAAATGCAGTGAAAACCTCCACAGCAGCTGTGTCCCTGGATGAGACACAATGTCCCAACTGATGTTTTCATATTCAGTCCACACTGTGCTCAGGGCCTCACTAAGAGGGTGTGCAAGCTTTCATAAGTGTGTTCTTTAATGGCCGACACAAATATGTTTACTCTTCACTCTTCCCACTTCTCTAAAATTAACAAGAGGAAAACTCTTGTGATGCTAGTAGAAGAATAATATAGGCCTGGGTAATAATAAATCAATTTCCTCATCATTTCACCAAATGAAATATTCAGCCCCGACTGGGCGTGGTGGCTCATGCTTGTAATCCCCACACTTTGGGAGGCTGAGGCTGGTGAATCACCTGAGGTTGGGAGTTCGAGACCAGCCTGGCCAACATGGTGAAATCTTGTCTCTACTAAAAATACAAAAATAGCCCGGCATGGTGATGGGCGTCTGTAATCCCAGCTACTTGGGAGGCTGAGGCAGGAGAATCACTTGAACCAGGAAGGCGGAGGTTGCAGTGAGCTGAGATCATGCCACTGCACTCGAGCCTGGGCAAGGGAGAAAGACTTCATCTCAAAAAAAAAAAAGAAAGAAAGAAAAGAAAGAAAGAAATATTCAGCCCCAAGTTGCTGAGCCCAGTCTGGGTGGTGCTCCTCCCAGGCTCCCGGAAGCCCCACTCCATAGGTGCAGGCTTACAGACTTCCCTAACAACTGCTGCAGGCCACAACCTCAAACTCACAGCAAACAGGAAGCAGGAGGTGCTGTCACATGTAACACAGTCAGAGCTTCAAGCCCCCGGAAAAGCTCAATGCCAGATTTCATTCTCTGCCCCTGATGATGCCCCGCACTTTCTTAACTATGCAGCTCAGAATCTCTCTGTTTCTCACGCAGAGACCAAGGACACCATCTGCCCTACACTCACCCCAGGAAAGCATTGTTGGTAACATTCCTGAAATTTAGTCATCCAACCTCTGCTAGACTATTTCTAGAAGGCAGCAAACCCAGCAGGCCTTCAGGGACAATGTGGACAGAGTCTGCTCCCTCTTTCACATCTCATTTTGTCTCCTCTTCTGCAAGCTAAACTACCCTGGCTCCTTCCCTCCTTCTCAGTTTAACACATCTTGTAGATTCTTCTCTTAGTTTCTCTACTGTTAGCACACTTGAGTTTCAAAGCTGCTTTCAAAATCAAGGGTGCTCACCACTCCAGCTAACATTATTGATACAATGTTACAGATGTATTATTATTTGTCACTGGTCTCCATCATGATAGGCAAATGCCACGGGCTTTAGGAGTGATTATTTAATATTCCTCATTACATACTAGAATACCTATTGGCTACTATTTAGCTGCTTCTTCCTGTTGCATTTTTTTTCAAAGAATTGAGAAGGAGAATGAGACCAAAAAACAAACAAACAAAAAAGCACATCTATTTTCCTGCAAAATCAAAACATACCTTATAAATGTCAAACTATTTTCCAGATTTTTAAATCTGATATGACACCATTACTGAAAAGAATTATCAGCAAGAACTAAAGAGCAATGCAAATGAATTCAACAAGGACTGGAGGAAAATGCATATTAAAATACAAGGAAAGTCTATGTGACACAACGGGCCAAACATTAAGGAAGATCACACTGAGTGTTGCTAAACGTGGGAGCCAAACTGTTTTTACATTTTGATTATGTGTCCATAGATAACATGCACCCATGGAAGTAGATATTAAGAAAGCAGGAAACTCAGGCTAGGGTACTTCCCATATGAAGTGGGCAAGTACTAGACATTGGGAGGTCATTGTGTTTTAGAATCACTGCACAGCAAGCTGAGAAAAAAGAAGGAGAAATAGAAGGAAGGCAAGGAGAGAAGGAAGGAAAAGAGGAAGGATTAAATCAGCAACAGAACAAACCATGCCTAGGTGCCTCATGCAACTACTGTTTCTGCCAAAAGAATAGAAAATGATGAGTGCTTTATTTTCAATAACCCATCTAACAATAATCTCTGTTGTTTAGCCACTGGGATGATTTACACGGGAATTAGCAGAAACCCTCCCCATCCATGTTATCTGCTGTGGATTTGCAAAAGGAACTTAATATAAATATTCTAAAATGAGAATGCTGTAAGAAACATAACCTATGCACACCCAAACCTACCATCGAACATAGAGAAATATAAAAAAGAATTATTCTCCCCCGATTTCAGAGTATGCCTAGTTTGGTATGAGGAGGGAGAGTTATCTATGGGTTTGTACTGTTCTGCTTTGTTTTTTTTTTTTGTTTTGTTCTGTTCTGTTTTTGTTTTGTGTTTCAGGAGATAGCATCTGTTGAGAGACTTTTAAAAATTGAAAGAATAGCTACCCCAGGTTTAGCAGAGACACATAAAAAGCTGTCTTTCCTGAATCACAAACAGCAGTAGAAAAAAAAAACAGGAGAAAGTAACTAAAAGGTCATTTCACACTCACAGCATTCTGAGTTTGGGGTTTTCCTTTTTCCTTTGGCCACTACACTGCATTCCATTTGTATGTTGTTTTCTTGATTTAGTCAAGAAAAGCAAGCAAATCAAACACAATTACTTGCCCGAGTTCCCCTAGCTTAGCATCATGAGAATCTGCAGTTGTTTTTAATGCATTTGGGATGCTCCTTCAGGCTATCAACAAACTCTCTCCTATGTTTATGAATTTATTTACTACTTTGGTGTTCCTACTCTCTTCACTCTTCCAGATGGGTTTCAATGGCATCTCTCCACCTTCCCTACCGTATGTAAAAGAGCACACCTGATGTTCACCCTCTGTTGTTGCTCTGCATTAGCACAAGAACAAAATGAGCAGAGGCATTTTAAAACATAAGAAACATACATACTAGACATGTTTTGAAAGCAGTAAAAGACTTGGTAAATTTTTCTTGTTTTCTGATTAAGTTAACAGAAGTTTTTAAACAGTCAACACATATTAAATTTACACCTACTACATGCCCAGAACTATAACCAGGCTCTGTAAGGGATGTGGCATTTTTAAGTACAGCACATGGTCCTTGTTCCTACACAGTTTAAATTTAACTGAAACAATTTAGAGATCACTGAAGGGACCCACAGGAGGTAGGGAGGCCTCAGGAGGACCAGAAGCAAGACCTTGAACAATTAGGATTCCTGGAGAGGCAAAAAGAGAAGAATTCAACCTTGAACAGCAAGATTAAAAGCACGAGGGAGGGAACACTGGGAATTTCCAGGACTACAGAGAAGACCTAAAATGAAGCAAGCAGAGAAAACCAATTAACATGTTAAAAGAGAGTTTCAATTATTTCAATTCTATGAGAAGGTCATTTTTCCTCTCTTTAGGACATCAAATATTTTGAATAGACATTATTTTTTTTCTCATTTATCTCAGGCTTTATTTTTTAAATACTAATACTTAATTTTTTCAGAGCAATTTTAGGCTCACAGCAAAATTAAGAGAAAGGTACAGAGATTTCCCATATATATCCCCTGTCCCCCAATATACACAGACTCCATTATCAACATTCCCCACCAGATTGGTACATTTGTACCAATGATGACCCTACATTGACACATCATAATCACCTAAAGTCCCTAGTTTACATTAGGGTTCTCTCTTGGTGATATACATTCTGTGGGTTTGAACAAATGTACAATGACATGTATCACCATTATAATATCTATCATTAAGGGCATTTCACCACCCTGAAAATCCTCTGTGATCCACCTATTTTCTGTAATGCACAAATTGCTTTTTTTTTTTTTTTTGGTAGCAAACTACATGGAGGACTTGAAGTAGTGTTTCCTAATAACCAGTGCATGACCTCTTTACTGCAGAAACCGCATGACAGCAGCATATCTTTCTCACACAGGCCACCCTTACTGCTCAGCCTCATAATAGTGGCATGGGTGGTGACATGGTTTGGCTGTGTCCCCACCCAAATCTCAAATTGAATTGTATCTCCCAGAATTCCCACGTGTTGTGGGAGGGACCCAGGGGGAGGTAATTGAATCATGGGGGCTGGTCTTTCCTGTGCTAGTCTCGTGATAGTGAATAAGTCTCACGAGATCTGATGGGTTTATCTGGGGTTTCTGCTTTTGCTTCTTCCTCATTTTACTCTTGCCGCCTCCATGTAAGAAGTGCCTTTTGCCTCCTGCCATGATTCTGAGGCCTCCCTAGCTATGTGGAAATGTAAGTCCAATTAAAGCTCTTTTTGTTCCCAGTTATCAGTATGTCTTCATCAGCAGTGTGAAAACAAACTAATACAGTAAATTGGTACCAGTAGAGTGGGGTGTTGCTGAAAAGATACCTGAAAATGTGGAAGCAACTTTAGAACTAGAGAATAGACAGAGGTTGGAACTGTTTGGAGGGTTCAGAAGAAAACAAGAAAATGTGGGAAAGTTTGGAAATTTCTAGAGATTTGTTGAATGGCTTTGACCAAAAGCCTGATAGCGATATGGACAATAAGGTCCAGGCTGAGGTGGTCTCAGATGGAGATGAACTTCTTAGGAACTGAAGCAAAGGTGACTCTTGTTATGTTTTAGCAAAGAGTCTGGTGGCACTTTTCCCCTGCCCTAGAGATTTGTGGAACTTTGAACTTGAGAGAGATGATTTAGGGTATCTGGCAGAAGAAATTTCTAAGCAGCAAAGCATTCAAAATGTGACTTGGGTGCTGTTAAAAGCATTCCATTTTAAAAGGGAAATAGAGGAGAAAAGTCTAGAAAATTTGAAGCCTGATGATGAATTCTAAATGAAGAAAAACCCATTTTCCAGGGAGAAATTCAAGTCAGCTGCAGAAATTTGCATAAGTAGCAAGGAACCTAATGTTAATTTCCAAGACCCTGAGGAAAATGTCTCCAGGACATGTCAGAGACCTTCACAGAAGCCCCTCCCATCACAGGCTCAGAGGCCCAGGAGGAAAAAGTGGTTCTGTGGGCCAGGCCCAGGGTCCCCATGCTGTGTGCAGCTTAGGGACTTGGTGCCCTGTGTGCCAGCCACTACAGCCATGACTGCAAGGGGCCAACATACAGCTCAAGCTGTGGCTTCAGAGCGGGGAAGCCCCAAGCCTTGACACCTTCCATGTGGTGTTGAGCCTGCAGGTGTACAGAAGTCAAGAGTTGAGGTTTGGGAACCTCCACCTAGATTTCAGAAGATGTATGGAAACGCTTGGATGCCCAGGCAAAAGTTTGCTGCAGAGGCGGGGCCCTCATGGAGAACCTCTGCTAGGGCAGTGCAGAAGGGAAATGTGGGGTCAGGGCCCCCACACAGTGTCCCTACTGGGGCACTACCTAGTGAAGCTATGAGAAGAAGGCCACCATCCTCCAGACCCCAGAATGGTAGATCCACCTTCAGCTTGCACTTTGTGCCTGGAAAAGCCACAGATACTCAATGACAGCCCATAAAAGCAGCCAGGAGGGAGGCTGTACCCTTCAATGCCACAGGGGTGGAGCTTCCCAAGATCATGGGAGCCTACCTATTGCATCAGCGTGACCTGGACGTGAGACCTGGAGTCAAAGGAGATCATTTTGGAGCTTTAAAATTTGACTGCCCCACTGGATTTAGGACTTGCATGGGCCTTTGTTTTGGCCAATTTCTCCCATTTGGAAAGGCTGTATTTACCCAATACCTGTACCCCTATTGTATCTAAGGAGTTACTAGCTTGCTTTTGATTTTACAGTCTTATAGGTGGAAGGGACTTGCCTTGTCTCAGATGAGACTTTGGACTGTGGACTTTTGGGTTAATGCTGAAATGAGTTAAGACTTTTGGGGACTGTTGGGAAGGCATTATTGGTTTTGAAATGTGAGGACATGAGATTTGGAGGGGCCAGGGGTGCTATGATATGGTTTGGCTGTGTTCCCACCCAAATCTCAAATTGAATTGTATCTCCCAGAATTCCCACGTTCCCCTCGGTCCCCTGGGAGGGACCCAGGGGAAGGTAATTGAATCATGTGGGCTACTCTTTCCTGTGCTACTCTCATGATAGTGAATAAGTCTCATGAAATCTGATGGGTTTATCGGGGTTTCTGCTTTTCCTTCTTCTTCATTCTCTCTTGCTGCCACCATGTAAGAAGTGCCTTTCACCCTCCACTATGATTTTGAGGCCGCCCCAGCCATGTGGAATTGTAAATCAAATTAAACCTCCTTTTCTTCCCAGTCTCAGGTATGTCTTTATCAGTAGCATAAAGACAGACTAATACAGGGGGTCAGGAGAAACTAGAAGAGCATGAAAGCCAGATTATAGGCCAAAGATGGACTGGCCTTGAATTTTTCTGTTTTGTGAGTTTTGTAGAGATTTGTCAGCATTTTATATATAAGTGATGTTCTAATTATTTTACTTGAACTTCATTGGAAAATAGAAATCATGCAAAAATCCATACACGGAGTGGACAACATGTACTTCATTAAAGTTTGGTAACATCCGTGAAAAAAATCTTACCCTTCCTTAAGGCAGTACATCACTGCAGAGACGCTCTATTTTTGTGTTTTGAAATGGAGCTCTGCAGTTTATTGTAAAACTGCTGGTTCTGTTGTTTACTATTGGAATTCCCCTGAAAGTTTCCTTCTTCAATTGAGCCAAAGTTCAGGAAAAGGTGTGACACAACCTGAAGACAAAAGGGAGGAAGTTAAAAACAGAGAGGCACTATTTAGTGATCATCTTGCATATGTCAGATCTCTACCAAATTATTTACCTGAATTATCTCATTTAATCGTTCCCACCATCTCACAAGATAGGCATTATCAGTTCCTTTTTATAAATGGAAAAACTGAAGCTTAGAGAGACTGGGTAATTTTCCCAGAGTCACATTCTAGTGAGTGATGAAACTAGGATTTAAGACTTATCTTTAAATATCACATATCAATCCATATGGAGGATGAAGAACATGAAGGAGGATGAAGAACGTGAAAGAGAAGGAGGTTACAGAGGATATGAAATTAAGTCATAAGGGAAGAACTGAAAAGGTGGCACTGGTGTCAAAACTGCTGATCTAGCATTCTGAAGCAAGAGAGTCACTGAAAAAAACAGTAGGATTAAAGAGCTCAGAATTGATGAGATACACCTAAAAAGAAAGTTAAAAGCTTGGTCTCAGCAATAAGTAATCTGTGCCCCTAAATTCTCTACTTTAATTATAAATTAGCTGTGTGGGCTCTGCTTACATGGTTATAGTTAAGCTGGGAAAAGAGATCTTAGAGGAGCCAAAGACTAGAAGCTTCAGGATATTGCCCATGAAGAGAAAAAGGTCTCTATTTTTACACCTGGATTTGTCACCTGGGTGGTGACAACCTCCTATGAAGAAGATCAACAGAAGAACCAAGGAGCAGAGCAGTTAATCTCTCTCAACAATACCATGTTTATCTTTAAAGCACATTAAATATCTGGAATATTTTGTCATTTTAAAAACCATTCGTGAGAAGAAATCATTTGGAAAGACAATACTTCATGCGTAATAGGGTGCTTTTGTAGGCTGGAAAGGAAATTGTATTGGATCAGAATGTGGATTTAGGCAACAGTCCTAGAAGTCCTTAGGGTCTTAGCACAAAAAGTGTCTATCCCTGTCACACGATGTTCATAGACATGCAGACAGATTCTAGCCACAGGTCAATAGGAAAGAACTTGAATCTTGATGGCAATGATATTCAGACACATTACAGATATATCTGCTGGAAAAATCCGAAGGAAGCCAGATATCAGGGAGAGACAGCTAAGTCCCTAAGAGAAAAGCTTTGTGAATGCGGAGATAATCTGGCATGGTGAGTGAGAAGTAGCACAGGACCTGAGCATCCAAAGACAAAATGTTAGCAGGTACAGTGCAAAGCTATGCACAGACACCTTACCCCTTATAACTCTGTCTCTTGGTAGTCCCCATGCCCTAGACGGAGGCAAAAGAAGTTCCTTAAAGAACACTTGGGCATCTCTGTCTCATGGGATTTTAGCACAATCCATAATCCTAAATATTTGCTCTTGTTACCAATACTGTTCAGGCCCCAGGAAAACTCTTCACATCTATTACCCTGTGATATGTTTTGGCTGTGTTCCCACCCAAATCTCATCTTGAATTATAGCTCCTATAATTCCCACGTGTTGTGAGAGGGACATAACTGGACATAATTGAATCATGGGGGCAGTTTCCCCATACTGTTCTCACGGTAGTGAATAAGTCTCACGAGATCTGATGCTTTTATAATGGGGTCCCTGTTTTGCTTGGCTCTCATTTTCTCTCTTGCCGCTGCCATGTAAGAAGTGCCTTTCACCTTCTGCCATGATTGTGAGGCCTCCCCAGCCATGTGGAACTCTGAGTCCGTTAAACCTCCTTGTCTTTATAAATTACCCAGTCTAGGGTATGTCTTTCTCAGCAGCATGAAAACAGACTAATACACTCTGATTTTGAAGGAAAATATCACTGTATCCAAATGCCATGAAGGTTTTTGGGCTGTGCCATTACCAGCTTCAGAAATCAATAATGCTTCAGAGTGCAAGCAGCAAAAGAGCTCAAGCAAGGGAAAAACAAATAACATGTCATAATCCTCTCAAGTACTATGAGTATAATGAATTCTTGCATAATGAAGTATAATTCCCCATAACTACTGGGCATCTGTTGTCTTCTTCTCTTTATGTTCCATATTAGGGCTCTGGAAGCACTCACAAATTAGTACAATATTCACAACTGTTGCATGTGGAAGATGAGGAATATTCTTTATTATTAAATACACCGTTCATGTCTTAAGTTAGACATATGTAAGTTTATACTCTTAAACTATACCTGAAGATACAGACATAGCATGCACAAAGTGAGATATTTCTTCACACTAATAACCAGAGGGACACTGATGACTAGGCTTAGTAGCAGTTTTATTTTTTATAGATATATTTAAATAATTTAATTTATATTCATAAAATTAAAATTAAAATTCCAGCTCCATTTAAATAATTGATTGAACTCTTTGATATTCATTCATTATAACTTGAATTTTCTCATTTAATTTCAATAGATCTTTTAAAAATATTTCATTAGAAAAATAAGCTTTTGGACACATGAAAGGATTTTATATTTTAATGTTTACATTTATTTTAATTTATATTTTTAAATAGAATTCAAATGCATTCAATTTTTTAATACTCCAAATAAAATTAAATTTATTTTGTCATTACTTAGATCATTGAAATTGAGAACAAGCTAAAATTATAATAGAAAATATAAAATGCAGTTCAGAAAAGTAAAAACGTTAAAATTTTAAAAATAGAAATTTTGTTGTAGTAAAGGAATATTTGTCAAGTAGGAGGGTAAGATATACTTTATATAATAGTATGTTCACTTGATTTACACTCAAGTATTTAGACCTTTTGTACGTGAATATTCTTATTCTGGGGTCCAAATATGTTGCAGGCAGGACTGTTTATGTACCCTAAAAAAAGAGAAATATGTAGAAAAAAATTCTTTAATATGCAAAGCTGTATCTCTAAGACCCTAAGCCACTGTGCCATGTGAATTTTGCCACTTTGTCACTGGAAAGCTTGGTACTATAATTGAAACAGCTGTATCTATTGGTGTCTATGTTATAAGACATCTCCCACCCAGCCACATGCCCAAGGAAGATCGCTGGGCTCTAAAAGGGGAAGGTGTTTTCTTACTGACTGAAGAGTGAAGTGAGCACATAGATCAGGAGGCAGAAGTCCACCCATGGCAACTCAGAGATAAACACTCCGGTCATTTGAAGTCAAGGGCAAGTTGTGCATGCCAAACAAAGCACCAATAGCTGCTCTCCAGGCCTAAGACACCAAGAGTGCTGACATCTATGAGGGCACCAGTGGCAACAAGAGCACAGGGACTGTGGCCTCCCAGACAGTGACTACTACTGCATACACGGGTCCCTCCCCTCTTCTGTCTTCTGGAGGATTACCTGAGTGACACAGCCACCATGACAAATCAGATCCTGCTCCTCACAAGAAGGGGCTGCTGATCCATTAGACACAAGAACTACAACTGTGCAAGTCACCTTACCCAAGTGTATTAGTCTGTTCTCTATGCCGCTAATAAAGACATACCAGAAACTGAGTAATTTATAATGAAAAAGAGGTTTAATGGACTCACAGTTCCACATGGCTGGGGAGGCCTCACAATCATGGTGGAAGGCAAAAGGCGTGTCTTACATGGCAGTAGGCAAGAGAGAGAGTGAGAATCAAGTGAAAGGGTTTTCCCCTTATGAAACCATCAGATCTCGTGAGACTTACTCACTACCAGGAGAACAGTATGGGGGAAACACCCCCATGATTCGATTATCTCCCACCAGCTCCCTCCCACAACATGTGGGAATTATGGGAGCTACAATTCAAGATGAGATTTGGGTGGGGACACAGCCAAACCATATCACCAGGTAACTTCCACAAGTGAGTGGAATGTAGGGAATATTCAGGTCCTATAGATGCCAATGAAAATATTTTGTGTAAATATAATTAATAAATTGCCATATCCCAAAGCTGCTCCTTAAGAAATAAATTATTATGCAAGACAAATTCATTTTTAAAAATCTCTTTGAATACAATAAAATTCTATTTTGAGAGAGAGCTAAAAATCTCAGGTTTTCAATTTTTTCTCCCAAATTTAAACTATACAATATGACATATGAGCTAATTTAAGAAGCCAAAAAGTTTTAAGAGATAACTTGGTAAACTTCAGGTGGTTAGTTTCTTCAAGACATAATAGTTACATTTTACTCTCCTAGGCTGTAAATATTATAGGCACCACTTAACCAAAGGGAATAAACATACTTGAGATAGATGTGGTCGGTTCTAAATCAAACATACTAAAGATGAAAATGCAATGGGAAAGGGTGGTTTCCCAAAGAATCAAGAATCCCATTATAATTAGCTTTTCCTGGGGAGATGATTCCATTCTTTTGCAATAGTCAACATTCCTTGAAAACAAATGGAAGTTTATCTGTCTCAGTGGGATCTTTGCCTCCAAGGAGCAATGCCACTTGGGAATTTATCTGTCTAGACATTGGTGAAAATATAAGAACTTTGCAGAACACATTCCATAAGTCTCCTGTCAAGAGGAACCTCTAACACCCTTCAGCTATGCTCAGGTCTTGCCATTTTCTCTGAAGTTCCACACAGGAGGCAGTCTTCTTGCATGGGTCCACCCTACACAGCGGGTGGGGGGCGGTGGGTGTGTGTGAAACAGACATCATGCGTTGGAATTGTCTGAATGGCTAATATTTTTCTTCTACTACTTAGGGTGATTTTCCTCAGATCATTTAAATTGGCATAGTATTTATTATACGTGTTAGCTATCCTGGAATTCAAACCAAGCATCTTAGTGTAACTGACGAAACAGCCCACACCGAAACACCAGTTTCCCACTTAGAACTTAGGCTGCGCAATTTTCCCGCTCCTCTCCCCATTTTGTTGCCTCTATTATGTTAGTGGTGTTTCCCATTAGAGGGTAAGCTATTTTAAAGCCAGGAATCTTTACTTAAAGCTACTAAAAGCCAACATTTAATGAGCACTTACTGAATGTCTGACATTGGGCTATAAGCTTCATGTGAATCATCTCATTTAATCCTTTCACAACCCTGCAAGGCAGGAATTTTTTTTTTTTTTTTTTTTTTTTTGAGACAGTTTCATTCTCGTTGCCCAGGCTGGAAGGCAGTGGCATGATCTCGGCTCACTGCAACCTCCATCTCCTGGCTTCAAGCAATTCTCCTGCCTCAGCCTCTTGAGTAGCTGGGATTACAGGCATGTGCCACCAGATCCAGCTAATTTCTATATTTTTAGTAGAGATGGGGTTTCACAGTGTTGGCCAGGCTGGTCTTGAATTCCTGACCTCGGGTGATCCACCTGCCTCATCCTCCCAAAGTGCTGGAATTACAGGTGTGAGCCACTGTGCCCAGCCTGAAGTAGGAACTATTTTTACCCTCATTTTACATATAGGGGCACTGAGGTTTAGAAAGATTAAATAAAGCCACCAAAAAGATCTGATCCCAGAATCCGTACTTTGAAGCAGTTAATTATATTATTTCTAAGAGGCATATTTTTCACATTTAAACAGCTCTGAAATTGTTAGCATATCTAAAACAAAAAATGTATTACAATGAAAATGGCAGTGGTGTTCTTTTTTAATGGTATGAAAACTAACACTGTATTTGACAACCTATGGAATATTCATTTCTGTAACTTTATATAGCCTCCTGTCCTGCTCATATTCCATTCCCCATAGGATCTGACTCCATCCTGACACATAGTAGACATTAAATAATTCTTACATTAAAATATGTACATTTATAAATTTAAATAATATCAAGTAACACATGATGGAAGGTGGTAGCTGTCTAAAATATGCATCTCTCTTACTTCCTTAGTCATTGAGCACAGATGTCTAGCTGGGTTCATGGCCTCTGGGAATAAAGACTATATTCCCAGCGTTCCTTGCAGCTCAGTGCACTCAGGTAATTAAGTTATGACCAATCAAGGTAAGCAGAGGTGATGTATGAAACTTCTGAGAAGTCTTCTAAGGCAGAGAGCATATCCTTCTTCACCCTTCCTTCATCCCACTGCCCAGAACATCACAGTGATGGCTAAAGCAGGAATGGCTCTTTTGGAACATGTAAATGAAGCCTGCACCTTAGGAACTGTGGAGGTGAGAGCAGGAAGGGGCCCAAATACCTCATACCAGCCAGGAACTGCCTCCCTCTCAACTTTTCACATGAGAGAAATATCATGTGTGTTTAAACGTATTTAAGTTCTCTGTCATGTGCACACTGGTGTAATCTTATCTGATACAGGACTTAAAACCTGAAATTGGAGAGATTCGTGACAACATTTAAAAATATTGCAATGGCTTAGTAGATGCAATCAAATAGTTGGCATTGAGAATTTAAGCACTGAGGTCTGGAAAGCTGACAGCATTCATTTTGCAGTGGTAAAACCCTTGGTCAAAATGAAACCCTCTGACCTTAAAAGGCAGATGACCTGCTGACTGAGGCTGCAGTGTAAGGAAAACGTAGTGTTTGCTAGCTCCTTCTTGCCACCTTTTGCAAAATTACTCAAGGTCGGAGCTAATGAGTCTGCAAGCAGAGATGAAGGAAACATCACTTGGCTGAGGGAAGCACTCTCTGCTTGTGGCCTCCCCTACAACTTGACAGAAAGACTCATAATCTGAATCCTGGCAGGGTTGAAAAAGTCAACATATGTACCCCAAAGTGAAGAGGGATTTTGTGGCAGCAGCAAAGCAGTAGCCTTAGCAGGAGATAAGAATGGTGTCCTGTCCTACAAATCTTATGAGCTTGCAAGCCAAAAATAAAAATAAAAGTGGTGTTTTGCTAAATAAATCCACTGTTAAAGCCATCATTAAGTTGGTAGAAGGGAAATAGGAAAAGCAAAGCCAAGAGATCAGTAAATTAAAGGCCAGAGACTTTAGAGTTAAATATAATCTCTCAGGGCCAAGGCAAGGGTGAGAAAGAAGAAGGCCCGGGGGGCCCAGTGTGGTGGCTCACTCCTATAATCCCAGCATTTTGAGAGGCTGAGGTGGGTGGACGGCTTGAGTCCAGGAGTTCAAGACCAGCCTGAGTGACAAAGTGAGACCCTGTCTCAAAAGAAACAAAACAAAACAAAAAAGGAAGTGCCCAGCACACAAAACTAAAGAAGCCCTCATTCTCAGGCTTGGGCAAGGGCAGAGCAGCACCTGACAGTGCATGCCTCCTTCCACTTTGTGCTTTGGGCACCTTCTTTGCCTCCACCTAGTCCAGGCCTCTATCATCTCTACATAAGATATTTCACTGTATGTTTCTTACCTATGGAACTGACCAGAAGCAAAGCAATTGTAAGCCTTTTTGTACTGCTAAAGCAACCTCAAACCTAGCCTACAAAAGACAGTGACAGATCAGTCCTCAAAGCAATGCTCAGGTCCTGGAACTACATCGTGGGGACTTATGCAGCCACAAGGCTTCTGCAACCTTCAGTTGGGCATTCTCTGAGGCTCACCTCAGAATCAACATGGGGACAAATGAACAAGGAATTAAAAATGAGAGAGCAAACCCAGTGGCCACAAGAAACAACAAGCAAGAGAGAATATCCTCCATGGACTAGATTCAGGACTTCCCAAGGGAAAAACCATGGCGCTTCCTCTAATGCCAAGGCAGAGAGTCCCACCCAGCAGGTAAGACAATTGCTGTGGAACAATTACTGCCATTGGTTCTCCACTCTTTTTTTTTTTTTTTTTTTTTTTGAGACAGAGTTTCACTCTGTCACCAGGCTGGAATGCAGTGGCACGATCTCGGCTCAATGCAACCTCCAACTCCTGGGTTCAAGGGATTCTCCTGCCTCCACCTCCCAAGTAGCTAGGATTACAGGTGTGCGCCACCACACCCAGCCAATTTTTGTATTTTTAGTAGAGACAGGGTTTCACCATGTTGGCCAGGATGGTCTCGATCTCCTGACCTTGTGAGCCGCTGGCCTCCACCTCCCAAAGTGCTGGGATTACAGGCATGAGCTACCGCACCCAGCCTCCACTCTCTTTTTCTAAATGGGGCTTTTGTCATAATTGTGCTCTTCTTACTCTGCCTTGGTATATTGGATGAGTATGGGGGAAGGGACCTATGCAGTTCAATTTCTGTGCTGCTATGGCACACAGAGCTGCATCTAGAACTGATGACAAGGTTTTCTAGTTATGGAGCTCAGTGCAGTTATTGGATGGTCTTATGGGTTGAATTGTGTCTGCCCCCAAATGCCTGTGTTGAAGTCCTAATCCCCAGGACCTCAGAATGTCGCCTTATTTGGAAATAGAGCCATTGCAGACGGAATTAGTTAAGACGGGGTCATACTAAAACAGGTGGGCCCCTAATCCAGTATGACTGATGTCCTTCCAAAAAGGGGAAATTTGGACAAGACAGCATGCAAGGAGAACACCATGTGAAGTGAAGGCAGAGACTGAGGGCTGTTTCTACAAGCCAAGGAAGGCTAAAGACTGCCACAAACCACCAGAAGCCAGGGGACAGCATGGGACAGATTCTTCCTCACAGCCGGAAGAAGGCACCAACCCTGCCAACATCTTGATCTTGGACTGTCTAGCCTCCAGAACTGTGAGACAAATTTCTGTTGTTTAAGCTATTCGGTTTGTGGTACTTGGTTATGGCAGCCCATGTGAATTAATACAGATAGGATTTGGGCATTATCTGCTCTGAGGAGAAGGTAAGGGTGTAAAGAAGAAATCATTGAGTAACCAAAAGAGCAGGCTGTGGCTCTTAGTGTTCCTAGTGTTCCTAGTGTTCATCTCCCCTTTCTTAGCAGTGCTATTATTGATTCTGAACTAGCTGCCTAGATTCCTTTGCAACTAGGTTTGGCCATGTGACCACATTCTTGCTGATAAGATGGAAGCGGAAGTCTTATATACAACTTACATGAGGTGTTTCTAAAGAGAATGGCAAGATACATCCTTCATTTTCATTTTTTTTTTTAACTGCTGGCTGGAAGATACATGGAACAGGAGGAGCATAAACAGCCCCCATCTTGGACCATGAGGTGAAAACCACATGCTAAATATGATAGAGCAACATAATAGAAGGACCCAGGATCCCTAACAACTACAAGAAGCCCACTACTATTCTCAAGTGCTTTTCTTTTAACTTCTTCAACATGGAAAAAAAAAGCCATTGTATCCTGTTTAAGCCATAATTACTTAGGATTTTCTGTCACTCAGAGCTAAATCGTGGCAGAGACAGTAATTATCATCCAGCACCCATTCTCCTCTTCTCCCTCTTAGTAATAGAAGCTTCAAAAGTTTAGCTCAGATACAGACTGACCCCTTCAGCTAATTGTGTCCATATTAATATATCTGGGCAATGAAGAAATGTAAGCAGAAGTGATACGCCAACCTCTGAGGCATGCCTTTAAAACATTGCCCATATACTCCCCACTCTTTCCTCACTTCCCATGAGTAGTGAGTCAGTTTTGACCATGTGGATAGGGACATGGAGACGGTAGCACAAGAGAGATGAGGCCTGGGTCTGTAGATAACCCTGACAATACATCTGCCTACCCATAGGCTGTTACGTGACAGAGAAATAAGCTTTAAGTCACTAAATTTTCAGACCTCTTTGTTAAAGAAACTTAGCCACTGCCCTAATACATGATTTCAATCACAGGAGATACAGCTTTAAAGCCAATATTTTCAGATGCACTATAAACTTTGCTTCAAAATCATAGTGGGATGGAGGACTTTTAGAGAAATGACCTGAAGAGCAGGGTTGTTTGGAACATCCTGTGGAATTTCTAATTTGTTCCAAGTAACCTGAGAGAATGTAACTTTTAGAGGCCCTCCTGAGTCCTGAGGCCAATCTTTAACTTGTGACCTAATCTGATCTCTAGATCAAGCCTGAAGCTGGATTTATGAGCTACAATGGGGCTTGCTTCTGTCCCTTCCCCTTCAGGGTAATACCAGGTGTCCACTGGCCAAGCTGCCAGGATAGCCCCAGTAGCTTATTACACTAGTTTGTTAAGTGGCACAAGGATGACTACTGTGCAGTCATATTGACAATATGGATGCCAGAAAGTTTAATATACACCATGCATCACAGGCAAAGGGGACAAAAGAACCAGGTGACATAACTGATGGATCAAACAGACTCATCACCTGTGCATAACTGGTTTGCATGTCCCTTTTTGAAGCAATGGAGACTACATTAATTATACTTCTTTCCATCACCAGTTACTCGGCACTCCCTGGTAACTCCCACGTGGGTAAAGATTCTACATCTATCAGCAGTTGCAGATCCCTGGCACCATCTTTACAAATGGGCTTGCACAGATGAATTCAGCTATTCCAGAATTTTTCCTGGCCCCACAAAAAAAAAACTCCCCAGATGTCCCATCTCTTGGTTTATATGCCACTGATGATAACTTTGATATAATCCATGTAACTTTGTTCTTGTAAAGAAAGCTAAACTGAAAATTTGAGTATAACTATACTCAAATGAGAATGACCTGCAGTGCCTCTCATTTACATGTCATAAAAATGTCTGAGGGACAAATAAGAGTCATTCTAACTAATCTTTAAAATGATATTGCAATGTCTATTTGGAGCAAGGTAGTAATGTATTCAATTCAGTTGAAGCCAAGATATATCTGTGTATATCTGACAGTGTATATCTGACATGTTCATGGGAAGTTCACTTTCCAGCCCTGGTGACAAGGCTTTAAAAGCCTACAATGCACACAATACCCCCGCACGTCCAAATTATCTGGCTAAATTCACATTTATGGAGATTATTGCCAGATGAAATTTCTGCCAAAACTTAAATTACAAAACTTAAATACAAAGAAGTCGACCAAAGCAAAACCTGTAAAAAGCAAAAAGGAAAATAGTCCCTGAGGGGAAAAAGAAAAGGATTCAATCTCGTTTATAGAAACTTAAATCACTTGTTGTGGCCTTGCACCAGGGATACCTCTAATGTATGTGGCAGATTAAAATAAGTTGCAGACTTCTGCACCTGATATCACATTCCTGCCCCATTATTTGAAGCTCTCGGTTGTCTCTTTCCTGGCTTCATTTTTGAGACTTTCAGTCCTACGTCTTTTCTTACAGGCTCCTTTAATTGATAACCTCTTAGAACCCACAGTTTCCATCAACAACATCCCATCCTTTCCTGTCCCCGAAAAAGTACACTACATCTTTGGATCTTGACATATGCTGTTGTTTCTGCCACATCTTCCCTGCTACCTACCAGATAGCCTCTCATTCCACCTTGGTTGAGACAGCCACTAATTTTTAAAATACAAGAAGTGGAGATTCTGAGACATTGCCATATATTCAAAGTAGGTGAAATAAATCTCAGTCCACAAAAGGACTAAAACTGCCTAGTGTCTGACTGTAAATACAGGCTGAACATCCCTATGCTAAAAATCAAACATTCAAAATGCTCCAAAATTCAAAACTTTTTAAGTGTTGACATGATGTCACAGCCAAAATACAGGCACACGACACAGTTTATTCAGTCTCCCCCAAGGAAAAAAGATCCTCCTAGTCTCTTTCAGCTGCAATATATTTTCTGTGTGTGTGCAGATTCCCCCACTCAAGCATGCCCACAAAGGGCAATAAAATGGTATCTGTGCAGGCTGGACACATCAATGGCAGTTTCCCCACAATGCCCCATATTGTGCCAAGACCTACATATATTACTCACTATGTTTTATTGTTTTTCTCTTTCTGTGGTGTAAAGATATTATTGGAAATGTCAACAAGGCCTGCAAATATCCCTATGGCTAACAGTAAAAAGAAGAAGAGGAAGCATTTATGCTTATCTATAGCATAGAAAGCCAAGCTTTTGGAGAAACTGGACAATGCTATTACATGTGAAACATCTTACGTAAGAGCATGGTGTCAGAATGACCACCATATATGACCTGAAGGAACAGAAGGACAATCCACTGAAGTTCTGTGCTGAAAGTGATGTACAGAAGTTAATGAAAATAGAAAAACACTGCATAAGGCTCAAAATGAAGATCTTGATTGTGTATAGAAAGAGTGGATCCATCAGTGT